>NC_000006.12:18999393-19150909 GCF_000001405.40 Homo sapiens | reverse complement strand
ACTCACATATTTGCTTTTATTATTAGAAATATATAAAAGTATGTGAAAATGTGTTTACATATTGAATATATTTTTTGTGGACTTAAAGAAGGGTTGTTTCCTGGGCTGAGACTTATTTTACTGGTTGTGTTATATTGATTTTCCATGTGCATTTGCTAGGAAGAAAATAGTATTAGGATTTTTATTTTTTAAATGTGAGGCTTACCAATCAGGCTACAAGATGGATGAATTCAACCACACAGCATATAATTTTTTATTCTTTATGCTTCTATGTTATCTTCCCTCCATTTCTCTCCATGTCCCACATTCCATCACCCCATTCTGATCACTGTCAATCACTGCACTGTTTTTTCCTTGCTCTGATCTCCTAACCAGATAGATCCACAACTGACAGGAACTTATCAGGAGAGACACAACAACTCACAACATACAAGCCATATATGAACCTGACAGCCCCTATTAGGGGTGGATGCGCACAGGATAATGATAGAGCAGTTGACAAATAACTAGCGGTTTGGCTCATTTACACTGAAGAGTTTTGCATGCTGGGGTAGTTATGTGCCCATTTATTGCACCTTCATAGGCAGTACAAATCCGATTTAGTCCACTTAACCCTTTACTGTGATTTTTGCTGAGAATGCACTTACATAGTCTCACAGTAAAAGAGATACTCAGAACTGAGCAAAAAACAAAATCAAAAACTCACTTTCTAATTTTCTTTCTCATAACTACCTTTAGGATCACTACAGATCAAATATAACTAGTGTTTCTGCAGAGCAACATTCTTTTTTCATATATGCAAAGATAATTCTGTTAACATAATAGTTACTTATAATCTAAGTAGGTCTCCGTTTCTGCTTTCAGCTTGGTGTAGTTTATAGCAGACCAGTGATAAGATCCAGGAAAAATAAATAAAACAAACATGTAGAAAATTGAAATTTAAAAATAATATGTACTATGTACAATAGCTCAAAAATTATCAAATACTTAGGAAAGACATACAAGACCTCTGCACTGAAAATTAAACACAGTATTCAGACACACTTAAAAACTTGTAAATAGAAGCATATTCCATGTTTATAGACTGAAGACTCAATATTTTATTTTTTAATTAAATTCTAAAAATATTCTCATATTTTTGAATTGAATTTTTGAATTGAATTGAATTACAATTTTGAATTGTAAAGTGTACGTTTTATGAACTATGTCCCAGTTCTGGCCATAGCGTCTTACTGATTTCAGCTGCTGATGACAACCTGCTCCCCAGAGAGGGCCATTTTATATCTTAATGGTGTCAAAATGAGGGTTTCTTCATTTGCAGTTCTGTAAAACCTACAGTCAGATGGGTAGGGTGGCAGGATCTGGTATATGCAGTAATCATATTCAAGATTAATGGCCAGGCGCGGTGGCTCACGCCTGTAATCCCAGCACTTTGGAAGGCCGAGGCGGGCAGATCACGAGGTCAGGAGATTGAGACCATCCTGGCTAACACGGTGAAATCCCGTCTCTACTAAAAATACAAAAAATTAGCCGGGCGTGGTGGCAGGTGCCTGTAGTCCCTGCTACTCAGGAGGCTGAGGCAGGAGAATGGCGTGAACCCGGGAGGCGGAGCTTGCAGTGAGCCGAGATGGCGCCACTGCACTCCAGCCTGGGCGACAGAGCGAGACTCCGTCTCAAAAAAAAAAAAAAAAAAAAAAAAAAAAAGATTAACATACTAGGGGTTGCTAAGTTGTCTGTAACCAATCATAGAAAGGGTGTGTACAGTAACACATGTAGAATGATTAATAACAGTGTAGTGAGTTAAGTAGTGTCCACTCCAAATTCATGAGACACAATTTTTTCAAGTTTTTCTAGTATTTCCAAACTAACATATATGGTTACTACAATTCCTATCAAGATGCCAATAGGTTTTGCTGCTGTTGTTGCTATTGTTGGGTTGTTGCAATGGTGGGGTAGGGGTGTGAAGATTGTCAGGCGTATTTTAACATATACATTCAAATGACAGGCTACCTTGTGGAAATACAAAGTTGGAGGACTAACACCGTCAGATATCAAGATTTGTTCCGAAGTTTCATAATTAAGACAGTGAGGTGTTGGTTCAATGACAGACCAATAGAACAGAATAGAGAATCCAGAAATGGATTCACAAATATATAGTCTCCTGGGGCATAACCAAGTGTAACTGCAATGCAGTGAAGGAAAATATTTTATTTTCAATAAATGATGTCAGTTGAGATGTATATTTATAGAGGAAGAATTAAATCATAATTTGAGGTGGCTCATAGATCTAAATGTAAAAGGCAAAACTCTAGGACCTCTAGAAGAAAAGAGAATATTTTCATGAAACTTGGGGAGAGAATGATTTTTAAAACAGGACTGAAAAAGCACTAATTATAAATAAAAGTTTGATTAAGATTAAAACAGTTTCATTAAAACACACCATTAGGAGAGTGGTAAGGCAAGCTACAGAGAGGGAGAAGACATTAGCAATGAATACACACACACAGACACACACACACACACACACACACACATATACACACACACATACAAAAGACTTATATTGGGGATACATAACAAACTCCTACCTATCAGTAACAAAAGGATATGTCAGTAGAAAAATAAGGTAAGGATTTCAACAAGC
The DNA here is from genome assembly GCF_000001405.40 of Homo sapiens. Classification (NCBI taxonomy): domain Eukaryota; kingdom Metazoa; phylum Chordata; class Mammalia; order Primates; family Hominidae; genus Homo; species Homo sapiens. Next base: position 19,148,265 of record NC_000006.12, on the reverse strand, counting down.
ACTTCTCTAAGAAGCACATCCAAATGGCCAATAAGAATATGAAAAATATCTACCTTCATTAGTTGTCAAGGAAATTCTGACTAAAATATAAAACTCCTACGATACAACCAAATTGGCTACAATAACAAAGACTGACAATATCAACAGATTGTAAGCGTGTAGGGAAACTAGAAGCCTCACCCACTTCTAATGGGTGTGAAAATTGGTACAGCTGTTTGAAAAAGTTTGGCAGTCTCCATTAATATATATAGTATGCATAGTTTATTACCTAAATGTTTGTGCTCAACAGAAATGCATATGCATGTGTTCCCAAAATACTATTTGTAAGAGCACAAATATTAATAGATATTTAATATATTGTTGATACCTGCAATAAGATACTACACAGCAATGAGAACTGCTATCACATGAATGACATGAATAATTGCTGCACACACTACTGAGTGAAAGAAACCAGACATAGAAGAGTACACACTATATAATTCGATATATGTAAATTTCGAATACTGGCTAAACTAAACCATGTTGTTAGAAGTCATGACAGTGATTACTTTTTGGGGAATTGTGACTGGGCAGGGCATGGGGCTTCTTGGGTGCTAATGTTCCATTTCTTAGTCTGATAGTTAAAGGGGTGTGTTTGCTTTGTTCAAATACATCAAACTGAGCACTTAAGATTTTTACACTTTTCTACATGCATATTATATTTCATTAACAGCTTTCTCAAAAACAATCCAGATCACCTATTCCTTCTGCTTCTACTAATCATGTGAAGTCACTTAATGCAATTACGATTGCTCTCTAAAATTGCTCTGTAGTATCAGTGCAGTATGTAGAACCTGGTCTAAAATAATCAGGAAATTCCAACTTTAAAGATTTCATGTTGTCTTTTAAAAATCAACACACATACAATCAAGTTGTCAAGGACCCAGCTTGTCCACTGGAGATAGGAGATTCAGGCCAAGAAGAGAATTTTAATATAGTCATGCATTATCTATAACTTGTAGGTTGAATAAAGATAAGAATTAGAGTGGACTTAACTGAAAATAGCCTTGCGATAAAAACAAGTCACTTTATTTCAATGACACTCACTTCCACTGTGATTTTTATCTTGTGCTTATTTAGTTCCTAGGCCCAAACCAAGCCTTCTTGGTGTTTTTTTTTTTTCCTTTTCTTTTCATTCTTTTTTTTTTTTTTTTTTTTTTTTTTTGATTCTTCAGCTCTGCAAAGTCAATGTAACCTATGGAAATGGAATTGCCCTTTTGCACAATGTCACTGAAGACATAGTAGAGAAGGAAAGCAAGTGTGAAGCCAAAGTATTTGTGAAGTCTGAATTACCTGTTTTGAACTTGAATTTCAAAAACATTGTTTCAAGTGAATGTGATGTTATTTTGATTTACTATATTAGAAACAGCCCTTTCTTAGTTCAGTCTTGCAAGCTACTCACATAAATTAAAGCAGGATCTCATGAGGGCTGATGAGAGAGAGAGAGAGAAGACAGGTAGCTTCGTACAGGCAAGCTGAAGTATATGTTTTAAGTAAGACTTTGAGGGGACATTATTCAGTTTAATTATTAGGAATTCATGTTCACAAAAGGCAAAGCTACAAGTGTGTGGCTGGTTTATCAGAATAGGAAAGCAAAGGATTATATGGATTGAGAAAGCCAGAGAATTCAAAGATAAATAGAAAGTTATGGTTCAGGTCACATGTTATATATAGACTAGAAGCTGAAACCCAAAGAAGTTCAATTACTTGTCCAAGTTCATATAACTAGTTGGGGGTGAAACCAGGGCTATAAAAGAGATCTCTTATTTGTGATCCAATTCTTACACCACAATACTGTGCTTCCTTTTGAAGATTAGATTTTTATATCTGTAGCTTAATACACTTTAATCATATATCTTAAAATTTCCTTCTAAGTGATTGTTAGGTAAATACGTTTATTTTCAAAAGTAGCAGTATTGCCTCAGGAGGTCACCAGGAGCTTTTATTGCAGTTTTCATTGTCAGTTCTTCTGGGCTCCAGCTGAAAGCAACAGTCTCCAGACTCCTTTGCAACCCAAATTCAGAATGTGTTAAAATCCCTGGAGATCGCCTTGCCATGGGGCCCTAAAGAATTCATGTAGTCACTAACAAGAGTCCAGAAATAAATTTAGTGGCTAAAATATGGTACCTTGAGTCCCCACATAATGTGAGGCTGTGGGTTCTCTGCTAAAAATGGGGTCTCCAATGTTTGGCTCTGGAAGCTTTAGCGTGAGGAAGACCAGGGCTTGGAGGACATCTGAAGCCCTCTTGACTTTAAAAAAAATTTTTTTCCCTCTTGAATTTTAAATAGAGCTGAGCTGTGAGAATCCTTTTAAAGTTTTTGACAATTTCCTAAAATATAGTATGCACATTGCCATTGCCAGGTGATATGAGTAGAGCTCATTTCACCCAAGTCTTACATTGAAAACCAGAAAGCTAAAAGAAAACATAACTCTTTTTTTCAATTAAAAATACCAATTTGACAGATATTTTACTCACAATAGCCTGGTAACAACCTACCCAAATGGCATGTAGTCATGCATTTTCTTTCTCTCCAAGGACTAGCTATGTCTCATGATTTTCACATATATTATACAGAAGAAGAGGAAATGCTCAAAGATGATGCTTAGCTCAAGTGAGTACTCTTAATGAATGAGTGGAAGGGGAGGACCATTAAGACAACTGAAACAAGAAGAGAAGCAGGTCAGTGTGGGAGAGGGGTCCATAGACACAGCTGGTACATCATGCATCTATCCATCCAGTTAATATTTATAAAATAAACTCCATTTTCTTTCAAGAAACTCACTGTGTTACAGCAGAAATAGGTCAAAAAGGAAACAAAGAAACAGATAATTATTTACAGGTACATATCCTGGTGGATTTTTCCAGCAGACAGGTTGAAAGTACTAGCTTGGGGATGAAATAAAAATTTACAGATGTTTGTATGGGAGAGGGTAAACAAGGAGTATAATAATTCTTACAAATGGCACCAGAATTCTTTTTAAGGTGGGAATTATGTTTGTTGGGAAATAAAACTTAATTGCTTGGGGGAAAAAATCGAGGTCCTTGTTATTGGTTGGCTCCAAGGTCTCCAAGAATAGAGCTAAGCTGTTCTGTTAGATAAAAGGGTGGTATGTGTGTTTGACTGGGTGGGGAGGAGGGGAGTGCAGGATGGGGAAGACAAGAAGATTCTAGAGCACTTCTAAGAGTGGGCTCTGCAGAATTCTAGGGGTTCCTGATACTCTTTTAAAGGACCTGAGAAGTCTAAACTATTTATAAGATAATACTTTGGTGTTACTTGTTTTTACTTACGACATTGGCATTTGTACTATTGGTACAAATGCAATGGTTGGTAAAACTGCTGGTGCCTGTATGAATGAAGGTAGTGGCACTAAAAGATATTTTGTAAAGCTAATTTAATTTAAAAACATCTTTTGGCCTTGTGCAGTGGCTCACACCTGTAATCCCAGCACTTTGGGAGGCTGAAGTGGGAGAATCATTTGAGCCCAGTAGTTTGAGACTAGCCTGGGCAACATAATGAGATCCCGTCTCTACAAAAAATTTCTAAAAATTAGCAGCACATGGTGGTGCATGCCTGCAGTCCCAGCTACTCAAGAGGCTGAGGTGGGAAGATTGTTTGAGCCCAGGAAGTAGAAGCTTCAGTGATCCGTGATTATGTCACTGCACTCCAGCCTGGGAAACAGAGTAAGGTTCTGTCTCAACAGAGTCTTTCGTAAGGCAGTAAACATTGTAAATTTTATCAAATCTTTTTTTAAAAATTTTTGTAAATTATTTTATTTCTTCCTTGATGATTTAGAGGTACTATGTTCAAACCAGTACAAATATTTCATACATAATACCTGGCCATTTTCTAACCAGTTGAGTAATTTGTTGCACAATAAGCTACGTCACGTCTTTCAGCAAGAAATACATTAAATTTGAATAGTAAAGACATTACATATGAATTACAGCGCAATTAAAATTTGCTTTAAATATTGCTTTGGGGGAGAGGACACCACACTTCTACTCAATGAAGGGAAACATTTTTACAGTCCAGAGGTCTTTTATTTTTTTAACACGTACGAGGCCATGAATTCATAGGGAAGAGGTTCCAGCAGCTCAGGCTCCTTCCCATTGGTTCTCACACAGTGTGCTTCTCTGGGTGGAGCAGGCTGGCGCTTCAATTGAACCCAGGTACCTTTCTCTTCGGCGTCTTTCTTTATCTTATCATTTTCCTTCACGCGTTTCAGGAAGCCATCTCAGCTCTTAGAGTGCTTAATGTGCTCAATACGCACGTTAATCCTCTTGGCGAGAATCTTGCCCTTAACAACAACGTAAGAGCGTGCTGGGGAACATTGTAGGCTCTTCCAGTTTTGCCATGGTAACACTTGCGGGCATTCCTTTTTCAACAGTATGCATTCCCTTGATGCCTACAATGTCACCTTTCTTATAGATTCGCATATATGTGGCCAAAGGAACAACTCCGTGTTTTCTAAAAGGTCTGGAGAACATATATCGCGTGCCTCTCCTCCTTCCCTTTGTGTTCGTCATTTTGGCGAATTACTGGAAGATGGCGGTTCTGGCCAAAAGGAACCATCAAATCTTAATTCTTGAGTTTATATCTCCCTTTCCAAGTATATATCTGGGTATGGTCATATTTTCTTCACAAACTTCAGCAAAAACGATTATAACAGGTAGAATGCAGAAACAGATATGAGAATCAGCCATCTTCTATTATGCCAAACATTAAAAAGGTTTGCAAAAATAAAAACAAGGCCATAGTTCATACGTTGTGGAGCAGGTATGCCACCCGGTACAGTAGCCACAGCCACAAGTGACCATTCACATTTAAATTAACTAAGATTACAGTAAATATCTAACTCTCAGTCATACTAGCTCACTTCAAGGGCTCAGTGGCCACATCAGCACAGATTACCTTTCCATTTTCACAGAAAGTTCTACGGGCAGCATTGTTATAGAGTATATATATAAAGGTAACTTTTTATTCTGTGTTTCTAGACAAAAATGAAGTTTTTAAGAAAAAAGTGAATACTTTCATTGTAATGTGTAAAAATAAGCATTTTTCAATAAAACTTGTCTCTGTTCTGCTTTTCAAGCTCACTTCTTTTGGGCACTTGGAATCTCCAATTCCCACTGTCAGAGTTATTTCAGATCAAGGATCAGAGGAAGTAAGCATATTTATTTATTCCACAGCCCAGAAGGTGTCAACCTCAGGCTCTTCCCAAGCAATAAGGTCATCTTCAGTCAAAAGTCCCTGAATTCAAGTGGCCCTGTTGTCAGTGAAGCTGTTCTGTTGTCAGAAGGGAGAGAGAGAAGGCAAAAAATTCTTTCTAGCATGAATTCAGGTTACCTTCTCAAACCTTCTGAATGGCACATTTGCCCCCAAAGTCACAGTTCCCCCTTCTGTGTCCAAGTCTGCAATACTTATGACACACATTTCGAATAATATGGCTCTACCTCAGAGATTTAAGATTGCTAGAAACTGGGACAAGAGAATGCTGGTTAGCAGATGCCAGTGCTTTACTTTCCCAATATTTTCTCTTCCTGTGATAACAACCATCATCATTCTTTTTTTAGGAGACAGAAACCCATGCACAGAAATTTGTGTGCTGTTATTCGCAAGGTAACGATATTTGAGTGTTTACTCTCACGCTGGTGTTAATTAGTTCACAGCATATTTAAGTCTGGGAACAAGGCAAGTCAGCTAACATCTCCGAAGGACATCTTTTACACAGCTACATTATGTTCTGACAAAACTCAAGCAGCATTGCCAAGACACCAATGGTGCCTGGTAAACACGGTTTTGGCAGAGTGCAGAGGGATTTTTCTCTACTGGCAACCAGGCAAATCCAGGTTTACAAATGTGCCACTCTTGGTTAATTAGTGACAGTGCTGGCTTTTAATTTAATTTAAAGCAATGTGAGAAAAAAATAAGGAAAAAAAAGTGGGTAAGCAAGCACACTAGTCTCACTGCTGGAGAAATGAAGTTACATAAGCATGAACGATCCAGGCCCGCGAAGAGCTTGATGGATGTGGTTGCTTCTGAAACACAAGAACATCTGGCTACACTGCACAGCTGAGGGGGAAAATAAAGAAGGGTCCAAATTCACGGACACATTTCTGTCAGAGACATCGGTAAACAGATGGCACTGGTTCCAAATAAAGTCCCATAGATATGCTGAGAGGTTTTGAAAACTCATGCGCCCATAAAGGCATTCTTTTTACCCCTTTATTTCCAGCTCAGTAACTTGTCATTAGCTCCTTCCCTATGCACTATCTTCAGAGCAGCGACATTTCTGAAGGCAGAGGCAGTAGCTGTCTGAAGAGGTTCTGTACTGTACTGTATTCTCAACCAAGTCTGACGGATGTGATGAGGAAGAACCATATACCACGATCTAGGGTTTCAGTCTAGGTGGGAACCGTACTGCTGCAAGAACCAAAATGCTCCAGATAAATGAAGGGCTAATAGATAGTAATGGCCAGCATTTATTGAACACTGAGTATCAGACATTGCTTGTATTATCTCATGTAATCGTCATTAGTTTTATATAGTGGCTACTATTATAATTTAAATTTTAAGGATGAAGTTCAGATACATTGGATACCTGAAGTTATCTAAGTAGTCAGCAGCAAGCTTAAAATTCATACTCTGGTCCCTGCTGGCAAAATAATAGGTTCCTAATTACTTCTCTGCCCTGCTTATGAATATTTTGGGAGAAATCATGTACTTTTCATTTGAGGCAGACAAGTCTCAGGCAATCAGAAGGTAAGATGCATCATTCAAAGCAGTAAGTTGCTGTAGTCTTTTGAACAGGGAATCATATATTGTTTAGCAAATATGTCTAGAATCTGAAATTTAAGAGATTTTTGCTTCTTTCTGTGATCTGCTTCTGGTCCAGAAACCTCTTACACATGGAGAGGGAAGGACAGAGTGCAGCAGCTGAGACTCCTTGGAAAGCCAGCAGAAGCCTGTGTCTGCTGGAGGACCTGCAAGCCTCCCATTATTATAACCGGAACCCCACGGGTTTTGCCCATTGCCCCCACTCAGCTGAAACCAATCAGGAACAGAGTTAGTACTCCTAGGAACAGAACATATCGAAGTTCACTTGTTGCCTTTGCTGTTCTAATAGGCAATCACGAATACCCACAAACATCAATGTCATCCATGAAGACGAGATACAATAGAAATTAAAAGCATTGGCTGGGCACAGTGGCTTATGTCTGTAATCCCAGCACTTTGGGAGGCCAAGGTGGGCGGATCACGAGGTCAAGAGATTGAGACCATCCTGGCCAGCATGGTGAAACCCTGTCTCTACTAAAAATACAAAAATTAGCCAGGCGCGGTGGCGTGCGCCTGTAGTCCCAGCTGCTTGGCAGGCTGAGGCAGGAGAATCGCTTGAACCTGGGAGGTGGAGGTTGCAGTGAACTGAGATTGTGCCACTGCCCTCCAGCCTGGTGACAGAGCGAGACTCTGTCTCAAAAAAGTAAAATAAAATAAAAGCACAAATATATACAGACTTAAACACCTTGAACACAATGATCTGCAGAGAATCTATGCAAACCTACAGTTCTGAAAATCAGACCAGATGCAGGCAACTGGTGATACTGAAGCAATGCATTTTTCATTAAGCATGACTCTAATGATGTAACTTTTTCATCAACCAAAGAGAATCTGGTAATAAGGCCATCTGCAGAAAAAGACATAAAAAGGCAAAGTAGTGACTGTATTATTGCATTACTTGTGCCATACAATTTATGAGACCCAGACTTGTGGTCCAAACTGATAGTGGAAATTACATAAGGCAAACGAGGATTTTGCATATTTTCTGATTTTCTGACTTCTGAAGCAGTGCAAAAATCCATATAATAATTTGGTTCTGTTTTGACTGTTTGCATCTACATTGGTTCACTGAAGTGGTAGAAGGTGGAGAATTAAGACTCATTTTTCAGTTGACAAAATTGAATTTTAGAACTAAAAGAAAAAAATACTTTTCTTTCAAGGCTCACATTGTTATACATGTAATAATACATGTGAGGATAACAAAATGCTTTATGAATTTATGTGGTATGAACTCAGAATACTGGTTATATAGTTTTAGTATGTTTATAATTTGTTGCTTCTATCTCTGTCTTCAGATTGGGCCCAGGAGTGATTGCTGATTACTGTATAGCCCATAGTGAGCTTGATGTTGGTCTAAACCCACTTGGGTGAAAGATTATTATGGGCACCCCTTACTGCACTAATACCAGGGAAACGACATCTGCAGGGAAGTCTGACACTGGGAAAAGGGCACTCTTTTGGAATGTGAGAAGTTCATTAGCTGCAAAACATCTTAGCTCAAAATTAACCCTAGTCTGTGGAAGGGTTCTAGATGGGGTGTGACAATACCAACAGTGATAATGATAACTGATAACATTTATTGGGTGCTTGTGTATGTTCAAGGCAATGTGCTCAACCCTTTATGGACATTGTGACTTCATCACAACAACTCTATTCAAGTAGTTCTGTAATTATTCTTTATCATCTGAGAAAGCTGAGGCCCAGAGAGGTTAAAACTTGCTCAAGAACAAACATTGCCAAAAACTAAGTCAGAAAATGATAGCTTCTAGATTCAAATTCTAATGCATCTGGTGCCAGAGCCCCTAAATTTAACTCTTATTTTTGCTGAGTGTATGGGAGATCTGGAAGCAGAGCAAACATATCATTTAACATCTTCTCAGGGACGTATTTGAAAGTGGAAGGAGGCACTATTGATAATTACACCAGGACAGCACGAAGCAGGATGTAAAACCATTCTACCTAAGAAGAGAACTGACATGAGACGTGCACCTGCCTGAGAGAGGAAATGACAAGTCTGGATGCACTTGGACATTAACATATGTCAACTGCTCCCAGATTTTAATATAAAAATTTTCAAAAGAGAGACTCCCATCACCAGATAGGCAGTTCCTCTTATCTGTTTGAGATGAATATGTGCTCAAAAAGTTAGCCTCTGTTTGCCTTTGCCTAGTATTTTTTAATACCTTTCTTTTAGTTTCATGTTATGCTGTCACAAGCATTTTTAAACATCAAGGACATTTTGCTGTTAAGTATTTGTTGCCTTTCTAGTTTAGGCTGGCATTCAAGTGAGCTGTTTTATGTAGACACTAAGGCAGAATTGCAAAATCCTTGCACCCAAATGACCATTTTCAAATGGTTTGGTTTTTAAAGTCTTGGCTGTAGTGAAAATATGCTCACAGCACTTGGTTTAAACTCTTAGGGATTCCAGTATACAGGAAACTGACTTTGGGAGAAATATTAAATATAGGATTATCAATTCTGTCTGTCCTTCTCACACATTGCCTTCCCCAAGGCAATATACATGTAACAGTAGCATTTCTTTTTAAGCAAGGCTCTAGTATCATGAAACTGCTATCACATCTGACACTATGGGCCACTTCCTTCTTTTCCTGAAACTTTGCTCTGATGATTTTCTGGCACTTTCCTCCTTCCCTCTTTCCTACTCCTCCTCTGTCATTTCTGCCTTCTTTCTCAGCCCCTCTGAATGTTGCCACTGTCCCTGGGTCTCACTACTGGCTTCCTGCTTCCGTTTCTCTCAATACAATTTGTCATTTGACAATCTCATTGATTTCATGGATTCAATAAATACTTTCAGGTAATACAAGACTCCCAAATCTATATTTCTAGCTCTAGCATTCTCTCCCAAACCCTAACACTCTATCTGTCTAAAATTCTCTATCAGGATTTCAGGATATTTCCTTCTGACATCTCAAATTCAATGCGTGCATCCGAAGCAGGTCTCACACCTCTCTTCTCTCAGCAGCCCCCACCAGTGTCCCATCTATCCCAGGCATGCCTCTTCCTTTGAGTTTCCTCTTTGCACAGGAAACAACTTACCTAGCCTCACAATCTTTGCATCCCTTTTTTTTTCCTCATACAAAATAATCCAAAATAAAATCAGTTGACACATTCTCTCAGGTCTACCATTCCAATACCTCTCAAATATAATATATCACTTTCTCTATTTTTGTCTAGCCAAAGTTGCACAGAACATTACTATCTTTCACCTGAAATATGCTAAGTGTTCTCTCCTATTCTTAATTCCTCCTTTCCATTCATGCTGTGTGGTAGCAAGATTCAACCGCTTTAAAAAAACCAGATTGGAGTATGCCATTTTTTTCTTCAAATTTCTATGCATGCAAAATATCCTATTCTGTTCACATTTCTCAGGCTGGCATCTAAGATTCAGTATAGATTTGACCCCACTTCATGATTCAGATCTTAGTTGACATGACATTTCTTCTGTGAGTCCCTCTCTGAGCCCATGGGTTGTGTAGCCCTGATCTGAGCTCTCCCAGCACCATCATAACCTGCATCGTGCTTTATCGCAAACACTCATTTACCTACTTATCTTCCCTTAGTCTTTCAAGTGTCTACAAGGACGGAGAGAACAGAATGCTTAGTCACCGTTATATTCCCAGTCCTGGCCTATGGGGGGAATTCAGTAAACATTTGTCAAATTAACAAATGAATGAATCTACTCACAGTAAACAAATAAATGGACCTATTCACTCTAAAGCTCTGTGGCTCTGGACAAAGTGACTCATTCTCCCCAGTTTAGCCTTTTATCTGTCTCAATGTGGTCCTTAGCTAGTCCTACCCACCAGTCTCCACATGACTAAACTCAACCTACTTTGACAGAAGTATAAGTGAAAATGCCCCTCTCTACTATGAAGTCGTCTTTGAGTCTCCCATAAGTGACCTGTTCCACTTCAAAACTCTTACAGTATTTTCTGTGTACCTCTTTTATGGTAGTGAGTTCTTTCCACTTCACAGCATGCATATTTTAATTCCCCAGTAGATCTGTAAGCTCTCTGAAGACAGAACCTTTGTTTGATTTGTTTTTAATCACCCTAAGTACCTAGTGTAATGCCTTTTAAAAAGAAGCTCAAAAGATCAATATTTATAGATCTAATGAATCAATGCATGGTTTCAATGACCTAATGAATTTCTTATATCCACAAATAAGACACTCTCTTACTTCAAACCATCAAATCAGTATTTCTCAGAACTGTTTTATACATTTTTATTGAAACAGATTCTCCATTAGAAAAAAGTGATGTCCCCTCCCTCAGTGATTTTGAGACTCGCACTTAGCTCCACAGTAAAGACCTTGTACACACAGTTGATTTCTCTGTGTGTGCATGTGTGTATGCATGCTGTCTGTATGCAAGTGTGTATACATTTTCAAAATATAAACTACAGGCAAAAAGTACAATGATCACAGATGTACAGTTTGGTAAATTTTTATATAGTGAGTATATCCATGTAACCAGCGCTCAAATAAAGAAACAGAAACAGCACACAGAAACTCCCTCATACTCCCTTGCAGTCATTAAGTTTCCAAAGACAACCATCATCTTGACTTCTAATCATATTAATTATGTTTTTCTGCTTTTAAGCTATATGTAGATGAAATACTAAAATATGTACATTTTTGTGCACGGTCCAACATTTCATTTACAAGATTCATCCATGTTGTTGTATGCAGTTGTAGTTTGTTCATGTTCATTGATGTACAGAATTTCATTGTATCAAGATTCCATAGTTGCTTTGTCCATTCTATAGTGGATGAACGTTTTGATTGTCTCCAGTTTGGGGCTATATGGGTAATGCTGCTATGAACATTTATGTTCTTTTTGTGAACACATTCATGTGTTTCAATAGGGCATATATTTAAGAGTGGAAAAATTGAATCAAAGCATGTATAGACCAGACTTTAGAAGATACTTCTAAACAGTTTTCCAAAATGACTGTTTTGATTTATACTCAACTACAGTGTATGAGAATTCCAGTTGTTCTGTAGCTTCATCAATGCATGACAAGGTCAATTATTAATTTCATTATTCTGGTGATATGGCATGATATCATATTGTGGTTTTAATGAGCTTTTCTCTGAGAAATGAAATTGAACATCTCACATTATTGGTTATTTGCATATCTTCTGTGGCATTCAACTTTCTTTGCCCATGAGGTTTTTTCTAAAATCATTTTTTATGGGTTTGTAAGAGTTCATTTTTACATATTTTAATATTAACTTCTTAGTTAGATACAGGTATTGCAAATATCTCCTCCCAGTTTGTGGCTTGCTGTGCATTCTCTTAAAGGAGTGGACTTGTTTTTCTGCTTCACTGATATTCAAGTTCAAGGACCATACCATATAAGTGTGATTAAAGAAACATTCTTTAGCTTGACAGATCTTACTTTAAGCAAAAGCTGCCTCTCCGTGCTGCCTAAGTTAGATGATAAGGAATATGTGTCAGCCTCCATGGCAGCTGGCAAGTGTCCTAAAAGTGCTTGTTCTCTAATCCCTGTGGGAGTCAATTTTTCTGGGTTCCACAGAATCACATAACACATAGAGGATGAAGTGAACTGAAGGGGCACCTGATATAGTACATCTAAACTGGGTTCCTCTGAGTTCTAGGGTCCCTTACATGTGAAGTTTAGGACTGAGAACGGAGAATGGGATATGGGGCTTTATGCCCCTTTTCAATTTATACAGCTACACATTTGTTTGATTCATTTAAGAGGGTTGCATGAGATTTCATTTGACAAAATTGGAACCCATGCTTGAAAACCTAAATCTTATTCAACTATCTAACATGGTGTCTGTCGAACAGTGCATTTCCATGTTTAGTTGATGGGTTAAATTGAGTTGCATTTAATTGATGAGAAAACTGAGCTCTGGAGAAGTTAAACAACATAGTAACTTTATACAGTGTATCTGGCATCTCCCATCCACTACATCAGTTCACCCATTGCTTTGGCCACTTCCATGCTCTGACGACTTCCATGCTGGCTTTGTCTAGGTTTGCACAGGCACAACAGGCAAAGCCCTACATGAAGCCCATACTACATACCTCATGGTTCCTGTTCAGGGACTTCTCTGATGGCTTGTATTGAATACCTCATGGAAATGAAACAAGAGAGTTCCCTGATTTCTCTTGCAGGACGTGTGACGGGGTGTCATTGCTTGGTCACCCTGCAGTTCATGCCCCCAGGGGAGCAGGCAGATGGGCAGGTGCAGAGGCCAACCTGAGTGCTTTGGGGCTCTGGCCCCATGGTAGCATCTAGAGGTGGGTGTCTGCAACTCCCGAAGCCCAAGTGGGCATGTGTTACCAACCTCTTTTAGATTTGCCATCTGCAGATGGCATATGTATTAATCAACTCAATAGATCCTCTGCCTTATCGCAAGGGCAGGGGGCCAGTGTGACAGTCTTCTGTATCCCGAGTCCTTGCCCAGTGTACCAGAAGAATTGGATCACACACTGGAAGGATGTGTGCAAAGTTTTATTGAGTGGTGGAGGCGGCTGTCAGTGAGATGGATGGGGAGCCAGAACCGGGGGATGGAGTGGGAAAGTGGGCTTCCCCTGGAATCAGGCCACCCAGTGGCCAGACTGTTCTCTGACTTCCCCTGGCTGAACTCCCCCTTGGCCTCCAGGCATCCCTCCTCTTCTCTGTTTCTCTGCCATGTTGTTCCACTGTCTGGTCTGCTGGTCCCAACGTTCAGCCACTTGTGTGTGTGCCTGCTAAGGTCTCATGGTGGGCCAAAAGTCAACTTTTGGGGTGCAAAAACAGAAATGCCTGTCCTCATTTAGGTCCACAGGTCTTCAGGCTTGAGGGTGGGGCCTTTGCCGGGGAACCACTCACTTCTACCCAGTATTTCCCTGTCTCCTGTCTATATCAGAAACACATCTAGTACTCACCTATGCATAAGCCAGAAATGTATGGGAGTTAACATGTACAGGTATCAGGTGACAGCAGGTAAATGCTTCACTCTTTTATACGTGGGTGGATAGTACGAGACCTATTTCATAAAGCTCCTGAAGAGATCTAGTGGGATGGAATTCTAGTTATCCTCTCTGGTTGCTAGCTTAATAATGCTTCCTTGAATTGGCTTTTTTTTTTTTTTTCCTATTTCATTATCTCTTCCCTGTGTACTTGGTCCCTGCCACAGCACTCTCCAGTAAACAACCTCAACAACCTCACATGAGACATGGTCTCAGTCTGCTTTCAGAGACCCAGACTAAGACACATACCTATTAAGTTAGGAGAAGACCCAAATATTGGACTTTAGCTCTATAGATTTAAAATGCATTTTCTGCTCCTCTGGCCCAGAAGGTGTGAGCTTTGCAAAAAATTATAATGTTCTTATTTTATTATCTCTCTAAGGAACATCACACCTAGTAGTAGAATTAAGCAAACAAAAACCAGTGTCACTGGTTACTACTCACTTTTCCCCCCATGAGAGAATGCAATAACCAGTGTCTGGAAAACTTAGAAACACATGTAATATCCATGTGTATGTATACATAATATCCACCAAATGCTTTTCAGTAGAGATGATGCTATGGAAAAAGAATATATTACAGCACAAAGTGCAGATTTGGACTGCTACCATTGTGGGATTAAACCTTAAATATTCAGTCTGTGGTTAACTATGATAATTAGAGCAGAATGTACTTATTAACACAGACAAAAAAGGAATACTAAACTGAGAAGATATGAAGAACTCTTTACTGGACGTCCAAATACCACAGAGATAATCAGGAATAGACATCAATGAACATGAACCTGACTGAAAACCCAATCTGCCACATCACATGGCCAAACCATCATTATTTCAGAGAAGAGTACTCTAAAAACAAACACTTACTGTGCCCCTAACTTGTGCCAGACACTGTCTTAGTGTTTCCCTCATATACTATCACCCCCCACAGGCATCCTTTACAATGATATGAGTAATAACATAATTATAAGAATAGTAGCTCTCTATCCTCTTTTATTACATATATAGATACCAAGCACTATTTTAAACATTTAAAACCATATGTTATTTAATATTCATGGCGACCTTATGAGGTAAGCACCCTTATTACTGCTACTTTTCAGATGACAAAATTAAGGCTTACAAGACTTGCTGTCCCGTGCCTGGTGAGGGAGAGAAACAGATAATGGGCCCAGGTCTGTAACTTGAAACCTGGAGTTCTTACATTCAGATTACTTCTAGAACTTCAACGACTTTTACTTCTCACATGGACATCCAGGTATTAGTCAGCCCTGTCTCAGATCTTTCATTCTAACATATTTCAGTCACAAATCTTTGCTGCAAAAGTGTGTTCCTCATCTCCCCGATCACCTAATTGTGGGTCAGTTTTGCTATCTATTGCCCTACATTTCCTAGGAATCTCAGCTATTCTCTGGGCCACCCTATCCTCTGAGATATCACTCTCATCATTAGTACTTGGTGAAAATCTGCTCATTAACATGGGCAAATGGATTTTCTTTTCAAAAAATTTTTTAATTTTATTATTATTATACTTTAAGTTTTAGGGTACATGTGCACAATGTGCATGTTTGTTACATATGTATACATGTGCCATGTTGGTGTGCTGCACCCATTAACTCGTCATTTAGCGTTAGGTATATCTCCTAATGCTATCCCTCCCCCCTCCCCCACCCCACAACAGTCCCCAGAGTGTGATGTTCCCCTTCCTGTGTCCATGTGTTCTCATTGTTCAATTCCCACCTATGAGTGAGAACATGCAGTGTTTGGTTTTTTGTCCTTGCGATAGTTTGCTGAGAATGATGGTTTCCAGTTTCATCCACATCCCTACAAAGGACATGAACTCTTCATTTTTTATGGCTGCATAGTATTCCATGGTATATATGTGCCACATTTTCTTAATCCAGTCTGTCATTGTTGGACATTTGGGTTGGTTCCAAGTCTTTGCTATTGTGAATAGTGCCTCAATAAACATACATGTGCATGTGTCTTTATAGCAGCATGATTTATAATCCTTTGGGTATATACCCAGTAATGGGATGGCTGGGTCAAATGGTATTTCTAGTTCTAGATCCCTGAGGAATCTCCACACTGACTTCCACAATGGTTGAACTAGTTCACAGTCCCACCAACAGTGTAAAAGTGTTCCTATTTCTCCACATCCTCTCCAGCACCTCTTGTTTCCTGACTTTTTAATGATTGCCATTGTAACTGGTGTGAGGTGGTATCTCATTGTGGTTTTGATTTGCATTTCTCTGATGGCCAGTGATGATGAGCATTTTTTCATGTGTTTTTTGGCTACATAAATGTCTTCTTTTGAGAAGTGTCTGTTCATATCCTTTGCCCACTTTTTGATGGGGTTGTTTGTTTTTTTCTTGTAAATTTGTTTGAGTTCACTGTAGATTCTGGATATTGGCCCTTTGTGAGAGGAGTAGGCTGCAAAAATTTTCTCCCATTTTGTAGGTTGCCTGTTCACTCTGATGGTAGTTTCTTTTGCTGTGCAGAAGCTCTTTAGTTTAATTAGATCCCATTTCTCAATTTTGTCTTTTGTTGCCATTGCTTTTGGTGTTTTAGATATGAAGTCCTTGCCCATGCCTATGTCCTGAATGGTATTGCCTAGGTTTTCTTCTAGGGTTTTTATGATTTTAGGTCTAACATATAAGTCTTTAATCCATCTTCCATTAATTTTTGTATAAGGTGTAAGGAAGGTTTCCAGTTTCAGCTTTCTACATATGACCAGCCAGTTTTCCCAGCACCATTTATTAAATAGGGAATCCTTTCCCCATTGCTTGCTTTTCTCAGGTTTGTCAAAGATCAGATGGTTATAGATATGTGGCAGTATTTCTGAGAGCTCTGTTCTGTTCCATTGATCTATATCTCTGTTTTGGTACCAATACCATGCTGTTTTGGTTACTGTAGACTTGTAGTATAGTTTGAAGTCAGGTAGCGTGATGCCTCCAGCTTTGTTCTTTTGGCTTAGGATTGACTTGGCGATGCAGGCTCTTTTTTGGTTCCATATGAACTTTAAAGTAGTTTTTTCCAATCCTGTGAAGAAAGTCATTGGTAGCTTCATGGGGATGGCATTGAATCTATAAATTACCTTGGGCAGTATGGCCATTTTCATGATATTGATTCTTCCTACCCATGAGCATGGAATGTTCTTCCATTTGTTTGTATCCTCTTTTATTTCATTGAGCAGTGGTTTGTAGTTCTCCTTGAAGAGGTCCTTCACATCCCTTGTAAGTTGGATTCCTAGGTATTTTATTCTCTTTGAAGCAATTGTGAATGGGAGTTCACTCATGATTTGG
Source organism: Homo sapiens (assembly GCF_000001405.40). Taxonomy (NCBI): domain Eukaryota; kingdom Metazoa; phylum Chordata; class Mammalia; order Primates; family Hominidae; genus Homo; species Homo sapiens. Next base: position 19,131,069 of record NC_000006.12, on the reverse strand, counting down.
CTCTCTGTTTGTGTGTTATTGGTGTATAAGAATGCTTGTGATTTTTGTACATTGATTTTGTATCCTGAGACTTTGCTGAAGTTGCTCATCAGCTTAAGGAGATTTTGGGCTGAGATGATGGGGTTTTCTAGATATACAATCATGTCTTCTGCAAACAGGGACAATTTGACTTCCTCTTTTCCTAATTGAATACCCTTTATTTCCTTCTCCTGCCTGATTGCCCTGGCCAGAACTTCCAACACTATGTTGAATAGGAGTGGTGAGAGAGGGCATCCCTGTCTTGTGCCAGTTTTCAAAGGGAATGCTTCCAGTTTTTGCCCATTCAGTATGATATTGGCTGTGGGTTTGTCATAGATAGCTCTTATTATTTTGAGATACGTCCCATCAATACCTAATTTATTGAGAGTTTTTAGCATGAAGGTTGTTGAATTTTGTCAAAGGCCTTTTCTGCATCTATTGAGATAATCATGTGGTTTTTGTCTTTGGTTCTGTTTATATGCTGGATTACATTTATTGATTTGTGTATGTTGAACCAGGCTTGCATCCCAGGGATGAAGGCCACTTGATCATGGTGGATAAGCTTTTTGATGTGCTGCTGGATTCGGTTTGCCAGTATTTTACTGAGGATTTTTGCATCAATGTTCATCAAGGATATTGGTCTAAAATTCTCTTTTTTTGTTGTGTCTCTGCCAGGCTTTGGTATCAGGATGATGCTAGCCTCATAAAATGAGTTAGGGAGGATTCCCTCTTTTTCTATTGATCGGAATAGTTTCAGAAGGAATGGTACCAGCTCCTCCTTGTACCTCTGGTAGAATTCGGCTATGAATCCATCTGGTCCTGGGCTTTTTTTGGTTGGTAAGCTATTGATTATTGCCACAATTTCAGAGCCTGTTATTGGTCTATTCAGAGATTCAACTTCTTCCTGGTTTAGTCTTGGGAGGGTGTATGTGTCAAGGAATTTATCCATTTCTTCTAGATTTTCTAGTTTATTGGGCAAATGGATTTTCATTCATCCTGCACAGCTAGGCTTTGAAACGTAGGCCTTTTTTTAAGGAGATTTCTTCATCCTAGAGAAACCTAATATTTACACTTGCAATCCTTTATCATTTATTTGTGCTTTAGGTCTCTCAGAATCTGCTTCCATTTTTAAGATTGCTATTGTGATGTATCATAAATAATCTCTGATGCAAAAGTTCCCTTATTTGCCAAGTAGCCATTCTCAATAATGTTATTGAGGTTATGTTCCATAGTTTTAAAAATACTCTATTTTAGGAGTCACTTCCAAGTCCCAAAGTCTCCTCTTTCTGCAAGCATATGACAGAGACACATTAAGGCACATTCTTTTATATATCACCTTTCCTAGAGCAACAAAATGCCATGATTTTTAAAATAAACTTTCTATTTTAGACTAGTTTTATGTTTACAGAAAAATGTTAAAGAGAGAACAGAGAGTTCCCACATACCCAGTACCAGAAAGATCACAGAAGTTAAAACGCTATTTACATCACATCATATGAAATGTACATACTATCAATATGACTTACCGCTGTTGATGTTGACCTTGGCCCTTTAGCTTAGACAGTGTTTCTTAGGCTTCACCTGTTAGTAAAGTCAAATATAGTATGGCACATTTGTTACGTTAATGAACCAATATTGATACTTTGATATTAACTTAAGTCCATACTTAATACAGATTTAGTTTTGTCCTTTTGCTATTCCAAAATCTCAATATCTCATACAGGCTACCACATTACATTTAATCATTTAATTGTCATGTTTTCTTTTTTTTCTTTTTCCTTTCTTTTCTTTTTTTTCTTTTTTGAGACAGAGTCTCACTCTGCCACCCAGGTTGGAATGCAATGGCATGTTCTCAGTTCATTGTAACTTACGCCTCCCAGGTTCAAGCAATTCTCCTGCCTCAGCCTCTTAAGTAGCTGGGATTACAGGGGTCCACCACCATGCCTAGCTAACTTTTTTGTGTTTTTAGTAGAGGTGGGGTTTCGCCACGTTGGTCAGACTGCTCTGGAACTCCTGACCTCGTGATCCGCCCACCTTGGCCTCCCAAAGTGCTGGGATTACAGGCGAGAGCCACCGCGCCTGGCAAATTGTCGTGTTTTCTTAGGCTCCTCTTGGCTGCTATAGTTTCTCAGACTTACATTTTTTTGATGACCTTGACAGTTTTGAGGAGTACCTGTCTGGATATTTTGTTAAATGTCCCTCAATTGGGATTTGGCTGGTGTTTCTTTTTCATGATTAGCTTAGGGTTATACATTTTAGAGAGGAAGATCACAGAAGTAAAGAGTCATTTTCATCACATCATATCAAATGTACAGACAAGCAAAATGACTTATCACTATTGATGTTGACCTTGATCATCTGTCCAAGTAGCGTTTGTCAGGTTTCTCCATTATAACATAACTGTTTTTCCCCTTTTCCATACTGTACTCTTTGGAAGGAAGTAACTGTGCATAGCCCACACTTAAGGAGTGAACAGCTATGCTCCCCTTCATGTAGGGTGGAGTATCTAAATAATTTACTTGAAATTCTTCTACATGGGTGATTTGTCTTTTCTCCCCCATTTATTGATTTATTGAATCATTTGTATCCACTCACAGACATAATACTTATTTAATACCTTGGGCTATAAATACTGCGTTTCTTATGCTCCCATTGTTCCAGGTTGACCATTGAGAGCTCCTTCTGTTGTCCTTGTAATATAACTTCATCATTATGGGTTTTTAGTTTGTTTGTTTGTTTGTTTTGCTTTTAGTACTTCTTCATTTCTGAGCAACAAAGTGCCATGATGCTTGAGGTCATTTTGTATATTTCCAGCCCCGGTGCTCAAATCAGCCATTTCTCCAAGTCCTGCTTACCTTTACTAGAGAATGGTATTAGACACCAAGATCTTGGTGCTAGGTGTGCTTGTCACTAACTCGTTTGTTTGCCTCAACTGACGGAAAAGGAAAATACATGTCTGTATACTTACCCCTATATATATACATATTTATAAATATTACTATTCATAACCATCTGTTTATTAAGCTAAACATGAGTTGATACTGAATTATCCAAATCTAACCTATTACCACATGGATCATTCTAGCTTCCTCCCCTTGCTTATCTATAGATTTCTACTCCAGCAGTGAGAAACTTGGCTACCACCATCTGCCATCCATTTACTTCACTGTTCAGTGTCAGTGTACATGTATAGCAATAACAGAATAAATAACCCATACTCCCATGCAAAACAACTTTATCATCTAAAGTATAGAGCATTGCCATGTTTTTTAAATGTATGTATGAAAAAATAATTCTTTTATTTATTTTTTATTTTTTTGAGACGGAGTCTCGCTCTGCTGCCCAGGCTAGAGTGCAGTGGTGCGATCTCAGCTCACTTCAAGCTCCGCCTCCCGGGTTCACGCCATTCTCCTGCCTCAGCCTCCTGAGTAGCTGGGACTACAGGCACCCGCCACCATGCCTGCCTAATTTTTTGTAATGAAAAAATAATTCTAAGGGGCTCTCTCCATTTTTTTACCGTTGATTTCTAAATTTTGTTCACTTTACAAGTGAAACAAAAACTACACACCAGAAAAAAAAAAACAAACAGAAATTATCTAGAAAAAGTCTTAGGAAAGAGTAAAACTGAAGCCCACAAATACAAATAGAGTTGGTACCTCAGGACTATGAGAGGAGTGAGTGCAATTTCAGATACGACTTTAACAACCCCAGCACAGGGAGCTGTGTTGCTGTCTTTGAGTACAGCACAAAGCTATCTTTGATTGACAGGCTATCTGAAAGCTGGTGGCAGGCAACAATAGCCCTTTACTTTCTTTCTTCAGTACCCCGACTTGAGAAACAACTCCAGGCTCACCTTTATCTTTGCTAAGTGAATGCAGAGGATAAAACGAGAAATTCTTTTTTTAAAAAGAAAAAAAAAGCTTTAGTTTTTAAAGCCATTTTGAGTTCACAGCAAAAACTGTATACAGAGTACACAGAGTTCCCCCATACAGCCTGCCCTCACACAAGCACAGCCTCTCCTACTATCAACATCTTGTATCACAGTCACACATTTGTTATAATTGATAAACCTACACTGACACATTGCTGTCACCCCAAATCCATAGTTTACATTAGGGTTCACTCTTGGTGTTGTACATTCTAGGGATTTTACAACTGTATAATGGCATGTACTCACCTATTCAGTATCATACAGAGCAGCTTTACTGGCCAAAAAATCCTCTGCGTCCTGCCTATGCCTCCCTTTCTCCTGCTTAATCCCTGGCAAACAGTCACCTTTTTACTACCTTCACAGTTTTATCTTTTCCAGAATGTCATATAATTGGAATTATATAGCATTTGGCTTTTTTAAGATTGGCTTCTTTCTCTTAGTAATATGCATTTACATTTCTTCCATGTGTTTTTATAGCTTATTTCCTTTTTGCAATAAATAATATTCCATCATCTGGATGTACCACAGTTTATTTATCCATTCACTACTGAAGATCGTCTTGCTTCCAAGTTTTGACAGTTACCAGTAAAGCTGCTGTAAACATCTATGTGCAGGTTTTTGTGTAGATATAAGTGTTCAGTTCATTTGGGTAAATACCAAGGAGCACAACTGCTGGATTATATGGTAAGTTTGTTTCATTTTATAAAGAAACTGCCAAACTGTCTTCCAGAGTGGCTGTACCTTTTTGTATTCCCACCTGTAATGAATGAGAGTTCCTGTTGCTCCACCTCTATCCTAAGTGTTGTCAGTGTTTTGGATTTTAGTTCTTCTATGTGTGTGGTGATAATTCATTGTTTTTTTTTTTTTAATTTGCATGATGTTTTAATGCCATGATGTTGAACATCTTTTTATATGCTTATTGCCATCTGTATATCTTTTTTGGTAAAGTGTCTGTTTATATCTTTGGCCCATTGTCTTTTGGTTGTTTGTTTCTTATTGTTGAGATTTAAGAGTTCTTTGTACAATTTGGATAAGTCTATTATCAGATATGTCTTTTGCAAATAGTTTCTCCCAATTTCAAGCTTGTCTTTTCATTCTCTTAACAGTGTCTTTTGCAGAACAGATTTTTTTTTTATTTCAATGAAGTCTAACCTTTGTTATTTCTTTAATGAATCACTTACTTGATGTTATATCTAAAACATCATTTCTAAACCAAGGTCATCTTGGTTTTCTCCTACGTTATCTTCCAGGAGTTTTATTGCTTTGCATTTTACATTTAGGTTATAGTTCATTTTTAGGTAATTTTTGTGAAGGTATAAGGTTTGTAACTGTATTCACTATTTGCCATGTGGATGTTGAGTTGTTCCAGTACCATTTGTTGGGAAGACTAGCTTTTCTCCATTGTTTTGCCTTTGCTAGTTTGTCAAAGATCAGTTGACTATATTTATGTGGATCTATTTTGGAGCTCTCTATTCTGTCCCGTAGGCCTATTTGTTTATTTTTTTGCCAGTGCCAAACTGCCTTGATTACTGTAGCTTTGTCTTGAAGTTGGATAGTGCCAGTCTCCCAACTTTGTTCTCCTTCCATATAGGCTCTGTTTTAGGCCAATTCCTTCTGAATATAGTGCAAAGGCATTTAACCATATTCTCTTTTTCTCTTTCTAGCTTTTCACGTTTCCTACAGTATTTGTCTTGGGAATAACTGACAAAATGGTATTCTGCCTTTTTTTTCTCTCAGCCTCAAGAAATTTGATATTAGAGACATTTCTCTGTTAATTCTTCTGATAGGAAGAAGCTGGTCTAACAAGGTGGGTGAGACAAAGAGACCTAGAGAGACAGAGAGATAGAGAGACCGACTTCCTGGATGCTCCTGTAGTGATTCCAGATACTTTCTTCCTGGAAGATGCCAGGCAAATGAGCTCCACTGAGCATGCGTCTTTCTTAGGCCAGACCCTCTCCTGTGACCACTAGGAATTAGATAAATAGTTGTAAACGCTGACTGGTGAAAAGTGCTTTTTGCTACATAAAGTTCAAAAATAAGGAAATATTGCAAAAAGAAGATTCCACAAAATCTGAAGTATATTTTCCTAATGTTGGTCACATAGGAAAAAATGAAAATGTAGTTTTAAAAAAACTATAAATATAATGTGTATATTGTTCTAATTAGAAAAAATGTCCTTCAAATATTTAGTAGTATTTGAAATAGACATTTTTTTTTTCATTTTACTTTAAGTTCTGGGATACATGTGCAGAATGCGCAGGTTTGTTACATAGGTACACATGTGCCATGGTGGTTTGCTGCACCTATCAACTCATCATCTAGGTTTTAAGTCCCACATGCATTAGGTATTTGTCCTAATGCTCTCCCTCCCCTTGCCCACCACCCCCAACAGGCCCCGGTGTGTGATGTTCCCTTTCCTGTGTCCATGTGTTCTCATTGTTCAGCTCCCACTTATAAGTGAGAACATGTGGTGTTTGGTTTTCTGTTCCTGTGTTAGTTTGCTGGGAATGATGGTTTCCAGCTTCATCCATGTCCCTGCAAAGGACATGAACTCATTCTTTTTTATGGCTGCATTGTATTCCACAAAATAGGCTTTAAAAAAATTTACAATGCTTGAGGCTAAAGTAGGTACTTCAAGACTGCCTTGTTACATCAATGAGATCCATTTAATAATCATATTTTAGAATACTTTAGTGAAAATATAATTTTTATTGTCATCAAATTTTTAAATATTCAACACAAGCAATTTTCATTTTTGTTAATTTTCCTAGTAAAAGTGGATACTTCAGACATATGCTTTCTTTCAATCATGGAAGCACATTCAAATTGTTTTGTTTTAGTAACATAGAATTAAGAAAGTTACTCGTATTTCATTTAAAATGAATAGTGCATTTCTGAATGCAAAGAGCTATCAATAAGAAAGGTAAGAAATGTGCTTAATTTTCTAGAATACCTGAAACAGCACAGGTATATTTACAAGGTCTCCACTAAGAATCTTGTAAGTAATATTGTTACAGGTTTTAGAAATGAAATCTTCATTTGGAAAAAGTGTCCTTAGAAAGTATTTATTTATAAGTAATGAAGAGGACTAGATAGAATCATTCTTGAAGAGCAGTAATCCACAAAACAAAACTACTTGGTACTATTTTTAAAATTGGTATAACATGCATTTTCTATTCAATAGGAGATGATTATTATTTGGAAAGTTTTGCCTCCCAGCACTTTCTGAGTCATTATCATTACATATATAAGTGTACCTTACAGAAGAAGAGAGTTCACATGATAGTTGTCATTGCTTATGTACTATTCTTGTTTCTTGTTTTTGGCCTAGTCCTTGGTCTTACCAAATTTGTTTGAAGCAACTTACTCTGGAATGCATCCTGGAAAAGTGTCTAATCCAATATTGCTCTATAGCACTACTCTTCTCTCTCAGATTAATCAAACACACCTTCACACTCTACCACAGATTTTACACAATAATAGGATTATCTTGCAATTTATCATTCAAATGGGGGCAATTTTGAACATGAAAAGGATGTGTTAAGTATTACTTTGGGACAACAGCCACGAACTGGACATGTCATATAAATGGAATATACAACATGTAGTCTTACGTTTCTGGTTTCTTTCACTTAGCATAATGCTGTCAAGGTTCATCCATATATCAGTACTTCTTTCCTTTTTCGTGCTGAGTAACATTTCATTGTATGACTAAGCGTTTTGTTTCTCCAGTCATCAGTTGTTACACACTTGGGTTGTTTCTACATTTTGGCTGTTATAAGTAATCCAGCTACGTACCAAGTGTACATATTTTTGTGCAAAGCTGTGTTTTCAATCCTGATGGTACATACTGAGGAGTATAATTCCTGAATCTTATGATCATTCTACATTTAACTTTCTGAGAAACTGCAAAAAATGTTTTCCACAGTGGCTGTATGATTTTACATGTCCACAGGCAATGTATGAGAGTTCTAACATATTTTCAGGGTCCCCAACATTTGTTCATTTGTTTAAACTATAACCTTCTCAGTAAGTATAAATTGGCATTGCATTTTGGGTTGAATTTGCATTTTCCTAATGTCCAATGATATTGAACACCTTTTCATAAGCTTATCCACCATTTGTATATTTTTATAGAAATGTCTACTCACGCCTTTTGCTCATTGTTAAAAACTTGTTTAAATTTATTTTTATTATTGAGTTGTAAGAATTCTGTATATATTCAGGATATTTGACCTTTATCAGATATATGATTTGCAAATACTTTCTTCCAGTTTTACCATTTTCACTTGCTTGATAGTATCCATTAAAGTAGAAAAAGTTTAACTTTTATTTCCTGGGTCATTTTTAAATGGTATTTTCTTAGTGGTGCCCTGGGGATTACCATGACAACTTCATTTATAACAATGTATTTTGGATTAACACCAACCTAATTTCAATAGTATACAAAAGCTTTGCTTCTATAAAGTTCTATTTCCTGTCTCTTTCATGCTGTTATTTTCACAAATTTCATCTTTTTACATTGTGTGTCCATCAACTTAGACTTACAATTTTTGATTTATGCAGTTGTCTTTTAAATCAGATACAAGAAAAAAAAGGGTTACGAACAGAATATACATTTTACTGTCATTTATGTTTACCTATGTCAGTATCTCTACTAGTGTTCTTTATTTTCTTTACGTGTATTCAAGTTACTGTCTCGTGTTCTTTCTCTTCAGCCTGAAGGACTCTTTTCAATGTTTCCTAGAGGGCAGGTCTGCTAGTAGCAAACTCTCTTCATGTTTGTTTATCTGGCAATGTCTTAATTTCTCTATTTTAAAAGAATTATTTTGCCAGATATGGTGTTCTTGATTGACACGGTTTTTGTCTCTCAGAGCTTTGAATATGTCATCCCATTTTCTTCTAGTCTCCATGGTTTCTGATGAGAAATCTGCTGTTAATTTTATTAAGCATCTCTGACATGTAATGAATCCTTTTTCTCATGCTACTTCCAATTTCCAAAATCTTTTAAAATTATCATCATGATGTCTTCTTTGAATCCATTATTTATTTGTATGTTGCTTAGTGTCTAAATATTTTGAGATATTATAGTTGTCCCCTTTTATTTCTACATTTGTTGTAAAAACCCCAAAAGCTAGTTTTGAGTACGATTTGCACAGTAAGCCAAACACTGACATATCACTGTTTAGGAGCAGAGAAAGGTTTATTTGATTTGGCTAAAGCATGAGAAGAGGAGAGGCAGACTCTCAAATCCAACATGGCTTTGAACATAACTGGTGACTTTTATGAATAAGGTAAGTATGCAGGAAGTGAGGTCCCCAGTGATCAAAGCTGCTTGCATCCCTCAGCTAATCAAACTTCTGAATGCCATCAAGGAGGTCAGCATGACCTAAGAATTACTGTTCTCTGAAAAACAAGTTCATTAATCAAGTAGGCAACTCCCAAGGGTCAGGATGTAAAGTTAATCAATTATTAGTGACTACTCTCTCTCTATGGAAATGACTAAGTGCAAGCAATCATGCATGGAAGAAGAAAAGGACAAAGAGAAGGAAAATAAGTAGAGCAAACACCTTAAGATTTTTAAAATATAGGCTCTGTTACACTTTAATTTTACTTGGCACAGAAAACATACTATGTATGGCTCTAATACTATAGAATTTCTTCAGAATCACTTTATGGTCTGGTATATAATCTATTTTTAGTAATGTTCCATGTACAATTGAAAAGAATATGTATTTTGCAGTTCCACTGCACAGTATTCTATATGTTTAAATGAAGTCAAGTATATTAATCACGTTGCCTAATCATCTGTATCATCTATATCTTTACTAATTTTGGCCTGTTAATTTTATCAGTAACTGGGAGTTGTCAGTAAAATCTTCTCCTATTTGCCTGCTTCTTTGATTTCTCTAAGAGATTTTCTTTATATATTTGGAGGCTGTATTATTGGGTAAATATAAATTTAGAATCTCATTTCTTTGTTTTAAATTCCTTATTAAATGATTGAATTTTTATCTCTATAATATCTACTGCTTTAACTTCTAATTTATCTAATATTAGCATAACTATATAACATTTAGTGTTTTGTATGGCATGTTTTTTCTGTTCTTTTACTTTCAATCTTTATGCCAGTATACTTAAAATATGTATTAAAGGTAATAAAAACTATTTTACCCCAAAATTTATCTTTTGATATATATTTGAAATGGCTGCCTCGAGGCTAGCAGACTGAGGTAGGGGAAATTTGCACCCCTAGAGAATCTTCATTAATGCAGCCATGCCATCCATTTCTATGCCTCTCTTGGATCTAGGAGAGATTGAGAGTCTGACACCTTCAAAAATCTGAAAAGAAACATTTACCATCTATTCTCTATGAGGGAGGCTTCATCTATATAACAAGTCCAACTTTGCTAGCCAAACCTCTTCCTTTCTCCCTCTCATGATCTGTCTTTCCAGTAAACCTGATTTACCCACATAACCTGTTTGGGTCCATGCTCTGAGTCCACATTTTTTTCAGTGGCCTCAGGATGGTATATAAGCTTCTGTATCTTATTTTTGGGTTGAGTCTTCATTCTGAAGACTCCCATGTAAACACATTAAATAAATTCGTATGCCTTTTCTCCTGTTAATCGACCTCATGTCAGGGATTTTTCAGTGAACCTTTAGGGGACCAATAGTCTATGGCTCCCACAGTTTCTTATAAGCAACCTATCATTGTTATTTTTATGCAGTCATTTCCTTTGTCTTTTAATTTAAATATGCTATTTACTTTTAATATAATCATTGATACATATATTTGAGTTTATATCATTTTACTGTTATCTAGCCCATTTTTCTCCTATATTAACTTATCAAGATTACCTCATTTTCTCTTTGCCCATTTTCCTCTTCTGTTAACTTACCAAGTGTGATGCCTGCAGCTTTGTTCTTCTTCAACATTGCTTTAGCTATTTGGGATTTTTTGTGGTTCCATAAAATTTTCAGGATTTTTTTTATTTATGTGAAAACTTTGGTTTTCTCATACAAGGTAAGAATTTTAGAACAGTTTATTTTCTCTTATCTATCTTCTGACTTCTGTGCTTATTTTTTGTATTTTAATTCAATGTGCATTTTAAATCCCAGGAGACATTATTTTATTATAGTTTTATACAATCTATATATACATATATGTATATGTGTATATACATATATGTGTATATACGTATATGTATATATAGATTGTATAAAACTAAAATAATGTCTCCTGGGATTTGTATGTGTATATATGTATATGTATATGTATATATATACAATCTATATATTTATTATATATTATATATACAATCTATATACACATATACATATACATATATACATACATATATACACATATACGTATATGTGTGTATATACGTATATGTATATATATAGATTGTATAAAACTATAATAAAATTCCATTGATAGGAATTTCACTGAATCTGTGCATTGCCTTGGGCAGTATGAACATTTTGACAATATTGATTCTCTCAGTCTATAAACATGAAATGTCTTTCCATTTATGTGTATTTTTTATTTTTTCATCAATGTTTTATAGTTTTCAGTGTGTAGATTTTTCACCTCCTTGGTTAAATTTCTTTCTAAGGATTTTACTATTTTGGATGCTGTTGTAAATGTGATTGTGTAGTTTGTTGTTAGTGTAGAGAAACACTAGTAATTTTTATATATTAATTTTCTATCCTGAATTAATTTATTAGTTCCAATACTTCTTTGATAGAGTACTTAGGGTTTTCTATATATATATATAATATGCCATCTGCAAACAGAGACAATTTTACCTCTTCCTTTCCAATTTGGAAGCCTTTTATTTCTTTCTTTTGCCTAATTTCTATGGCTGGGACTTCTAGTACCCTATTGGAAAAAAAAAAGGGGTGAAAGTGGGCATTCTTACCTATGTACTGATGGTAAGGGAAAAGCTTTCAGCTTTTCACCATGAATGGTAATGTTACCTCTGGTCTTGTCATATACAGCCTTTATTGTACTGAGGTACATTCCTTGCAGATCTAATTTGTTGAGTGTTTTTTATCATGAAGAATGTTGAATTTTGGCAAATGCCTTTCCTGCATCTGTTGAGATAGTCACATGATTTTTATCCTTAATGTTGTTAATGTAGTGTATGAAATTTGTTAATTTGCATATGTTGAATCTTTCTTGCATTTCAGGAATAAATCTCACTTGATCATGGCGAATGATTCTTTTATGGGTTGTTGATTTCAGTTTGTTAATATTTTATTTAGCATTTTTACATATATGTTTATCAAGAATGCTGGCTTGTAATTTTTATTTCATATTATGACCTCGTCTGGCTTTGCTATCAGGGTAATGCTGGCCTCACAAATTAAGTTTTGGGAGTATTACTTTCACTTCAATTTTTGGGAAGTTTGAGAATAATTGGTATTAATTATTCCTTAAATGTTGGGTAGAATTCAGCAGCAAAGCCATCCTGTCCTGTGCTTTTCTTTGATGAAAGACTTTTTATTACTGATTCAATCTTCTTACTTATTATTGGTTTGTTCAGATTTTCTATTTCATAATGATTCAGTCATGGTAGACTGTATGTATGCAGGAATGTGTCATTTTTTTCTAGATTATCCAGTTTGTTGGTATACAATTGTTCAGAGTAGTTTCTAATAATCCTTTGTATTTCTGTAGTATCAGTTATAAGTGTCATCTTTTTTTCTTTAAAAATATTTTAAGTTCTGGAATACATGTGCAGGACATGCAGGTTTGTTACATAGGTAAACGTGTGCCATGGTGGTTTGCTGCACCAGTCAACCCATCTCTTAGGTGTTAAGCTCAGCATGCATTAGTTTTTTATCCTGACACTCTCCCTCTCCCTGCCTCCACCTCCCAACAGGCCCCAGTATGTGTTGTTCCCCTCCCTGTGTCCATGTATTCTCACTGTTCAGCTCCCACTTATAAGTGAGAACAAACAGTGTTTGGTTCTCTGTTCCTGTGTTAGTTTGCTGTGGATGATGGCTTCCAGCTCCATCCACGTCCCTGAAAAGGACATGCTCTCATTTCTTTTTATGGATGTATAGTATTCCATGGTGTATATGTACCACATTTTCTTTATCCAGTCTATCATTGATGGGCATTTGGGTTAATTCCATGTTTTTGCTATTGTGAATAGTGCTGCAATGAACATAGTCATGCATGTAGAATGGTTTATATTCCTTTGCGAATATACCCAGTAATGGGATTGCTGGGCCAAATGGTATTTCTGGTTCTAGATCTTTGAGGAATCGCCACACTGTCTTCCACAATGGTTGAACTAATTTGCATTCCCATAAACAGTGTAAAGGAGTTCCTATTTCTTCACAGCCTTGCCGGCATCTGTTGTTTCTTGACTTTTTAATAATCACCATTCTGACTGGCATGAGATGGTATCTCATTGTGGTTTTGATTTGCATTTCTCTAATAATCAGTGATGTTGAGCTTTTTTTTCATGTTTTTTGGCCACATAAATGTCTTCTTTTGAGAAGTGTCTGTTCATGTCCTTTGCCCACTTTTTAATGGGGTTGGTTTTTTCTTGTAAATTTGTTTTAAGTTCCTTGTAGATTCTGGATATTAGACCTTTGTTAAATGGATAGATTGCAAAACTTTTCTTTGATTCTCCCATGTCTGTTCACTCTGATGATAGTTTCTTTTGCTGTGCAGAAGCTCTTTAGTTTAATTAGATCCCATTTTTCAATTTTTGCTTTTGTTGCAATTGCTTTTCATGTTTTTGTTATAAAATCTCTGCTCCTGACTATGTCCTAAATGGTATTGCCTAGATTTTCTTCTAGGGTTTTTATAGTTTTGGGTTTTACATTTAAGTCTTTAATCCATCTTGAGTTGATTTTTGTATAAGGTATAAGAAAGGGGTCCAGTTTCAATTTCCTGCATATGGCTAGCCAGTTCTCCCAGCACCACTTATCAGATAGGGAACCCTTTCCCCATTGCTTGTTTTTGTCAGGTTTGCTGAAGATAAGATAGTTGTAGATGTGTGGTCTTATTTCTGAGTTCTCTATTTTATTCCATTTTTCTATGTGTCTGTGTTTTTATGAGTACCATGCTGTTTTGGTTACTGTAGCCTTGTAGTATAGCTTGAGGTTGAGTAGCATGATGCCTCCAACTTTGTTCTTTTGCTTAGGATTGTCTTGACTAGTAGTGTATCATCTTTCATTTCTAATCTTATTTATTTGAATCTTCTCTCTTTTTCCTATTCTAGCTAAGAGTTTCTCAATTTTATCTTTTCATAAGCAAACCCAGTTTTGTTAATCTTTTTTAATACTTTTCTAGTCTCAGTTTCATTTATTTCTGCTCTGCTCATTTATTTCTTTGTTTTTTTCCTTCCTCCTTCTAATTTTGGTTTTAGTTTTTTCTTCTTTTTCTGATTCCCTGTAGTGTAATGTTAGGCTTTTTATTTAAAGTCTTTCTTTTTTATTAATGTAGGCATTTGTTGCTATAAACTTTCCTCTTAGAACTGCTTTTGCTTCATTCCATAAGTTTTGGTATGTTATGTTTCCATTTTCATTGTCTGTAGATATTTTTAAGTTTCCTTCTGAGGCCTTCTTTGACCCATTGGTTGTTCATGAGTGTGTTGTTTAATTCCCATGTGTTTGTGAATTTTCAAATATTTTATATTATTCATTTATAGTTTTATAGCATTGTGATTGGAAAATATACTTGATGTGATTTCAATATTCTTAGAAATGTATTCAAACTTGTTTGTGGCCTAACACATAATCTATCCTAGAGAATGTACCATGTGTGATTGAGAAAAATGTGTATCTGCTGCAGTTGGATAAAATGTTCTATAAATTTTTAGGTCCATTTGGTTTAATGTGAAGGTCACATCCAATTTTTTATTAATTTAATTCTGAATGATCTGTCCACTGTTGAAAGTGGGGTATTGGTAGAAATGATGTTAGCAAAATGGTGGAACAGGAATTCTTCAGCTAAACTACTCCCCCAACTCCAGCCCACACCTGTGCTATACACACACACCCACACACAGAAATCCAACTAACAAATATTCTCAGGCAAAAATACTTTTGTGAATATCCCAAACTCAGGAGTGAGGCTGAGATATCCCTTGGGAAACTAGAACTGAAAAATGCTGCATTCAAAAGATAAGAAGAATGGTTCTCTTGGGCGATGTCACCCTTCCCATAACCCAGGACAGCACTACACACAGAGGATGTGACAAAATCCATGGTTTTTACAGTGGAAGAAGTGAGTTGAAGGTGGACATTCAGCTCACCACCTTTCTGGGACCCTTTGCAAGGGGCCTATTTCTGTCTTGCCCTATAGGAAACATTGACATTACCAGCAGGAATAGATCACCTGAGGTCAATTAGAAACAAAATGCAAGGGTGGGGCTCACAGCAACCAAAGTACAGATCTTGGCTGTTGGTCTGTATTCTAGATGGCAGAGGCACCAAAACGTAGAGACTAGCTCACAGAATCATGTGGCAGAAAGCATGTTCCATAGGTTTGCCAGACTTGAGTCCCTAATCAACTCCCTCACATAGCCCCGGTGCTCTTGTTAAGCCTTATCCAGGCCAGAAGGCAACAGCAGGTCAGTGGTTATTCATGGAGGGAACATCCGGTCCCACCCACTCACGGCTGTTGAGTGGCAACTCTACATATTCTTGGTACTCTGCTTAAGCCCACTTTACACTGAGAGGCAAGCCCAAGTCCATGCATATCTGTGGAACATAACCTCTGGCCCTACCCACCCAGTGTGGGCCAAACAGCAAGCCCAGAGATGTTACCCAGCCTCAGTGCCCTGCACACAGCATTTCTCAACTTCAGATTCCAGACAATATTGCCCAGCCATGGAGACAATATTCATCCCTGCCCAATCAGAAATATTTACAGGACCTAGCCAGCAGCTGTGTGATGGCATAGTCCAGCCAGTGGTATCACCAGAACATGGAGCACAGCCAACAATACCACATGATCTCAGAGCACAAGAAGTAACCCAGCCCAACTAGAGAACCTAACACCAAGGTTTGCCTGTACAGGGTTGCTACCAGTTAGCCCATCCAAAATCCCAAGCTTGACTAAAGGGTAAAGGTCTGTAAATTCCAAAGAACACCTGCAAATGATGAAAGAGGTGGCCATCTTCTCAAATGTGCAAGCATTATGTAAGGACATAAGGATTATGAAAAATCAGGGAAATGTGACACCATCAAAAGAAATGAATAAAGTTCTAATAATCAACTCTATAAAAAATGGAGATCTATGAAAAGACTAACAATTCAAAATCCAAGGGAAATCCAAGAAAATATGGACAAAAATTAAATAAAATATACAAGGCAACTTATGAACAAAATGGTAAGTTTGACAAAGAAACAAAACAACAAAAAATTTGAAATCTTAGAGATAATAACTGAGCTGAAAAATTCAATAGAAAGTTTCAACAGGAGACATGATTAAGAATAAGGAAGAATCAGTGAGCTCTAAAATACATTTGAAATTATTCAATCATAGAAGCAGAAACAACAAAAAAAAAGAGACTAAGTAAAGAAGATCAATGGGAATTATGGAACACCATCAAGTGAATTAACCTTCGTAATAGCAATTCCTGAGGAAAATGAGAAAGACAGAGTCCTGAAAAACATATATAAGAAAATAATGGCTATCAATTTTCCAAATTTTGGGAAAGATGACACCACTTGGTTACAGAAAACTCAGAGATTACCAGTCAAATCTAACCCAAAGAGAAGTTTATGAAGACATGTCATATTAAATTATGAAAAATCAGGCAAAGAATGAATACTGAAAGCAGCAAGAGATAAAAGACATACCACAATCAAGAGAGTTCCAACATGGCTGTCAGCAGATTTGTCAGCAAAAACTCTGCAGTCCAGGAGAGAGTAGTATGACATATTCAATGTGCTAAAGCTAAAAAAAAAAAAAAAAAAAAAAAATCATCGATCAGAAATGAGGGGAAAACAACTTTCTCAGAGAAACAAAAGCTAAGGTAGTGTATCACCTCTAGGACTGCATTACAGAAATTGCTAAAGGAAGTTATTTAAGCTGAAGTGAAAGTCTGCTAATTAATAACATAAAACATATGAAAGTAAAATTCTCAATGGTACAAGTAATACATAGTCATATGCAGAATCTCTTGTACTGTGAGAGTGGTGTGTAAAGCAATTCTATCCCTACTAGGAGGGTTAAAAGATAAAACTATTTAAAAATAACTACAATAAATTTTTAAAATATAAAAATTACAAAAAAAGATAAATTTTGATATCAAAATCACGAATGGTGGGAGGGAGAAAAGGAAAGTGTAGAAATTTTGTACACTATTAAAATGAAGTTTTTATCAGCTTAAGCAGCCTGTTATAAGGTTAAGATATTTAATATAAGCTTCATTATAACTGCAAACCAAAAGCCTATAGCAATTTCACAAAATATATAAAGACAGGATTCAAGGCATATGGCCACAGAAAATCATCACACCACAAAGGAAGAAAGCAAGAGAGGAAGAAAGAAAGAAAAGACTTCAGCCGGGTGCAGTGGCTCATGCCTATAATCCCAGCACTTTGGGATGCCAAGGCGGGCAGATCACTGGAGCCCAGGAGTTCGACACCTGCCTGAGCAACATGGCAAACCCCATCTCTACCAAAAATACAAAAATTAGCCGGGTGTGGTGGTGCACACCTGTAATCCCAGGTACTTGAGTGGCTAAGGCAGGAGGATTGCTTGAACGTGGAGGTAGAGGTTGCAGTGAGCTGAGATCACACCAGTGGACTCCAGCCTGGATGACACAGAGACCCTGAAGAAAGAAGGATGAGAGAAGAAAGAAAGAAAGAAAGAAAGAAGGAAAGAAAGAAAGAAAGAAAGAAAGAAAGAAAGAAAGAAAGAAAGAGAGAGAGAGAAAGGAAAGAAAAGAAAGAAAGGGAAAGAAAAGAAAAGGAAAGGAAAGGAAGAAGGAAGCAAGGAAAAAGAAAAAGAGAAGGAAGAAGGAAGAAGAAAGAGGGAGGGAGGGAAGGAAGGAAAGAAAGGAAGGAAGGGAAAGGAAAGGAAGAAAGGAAGGGAAAAGAAAGGAAAGCAAGAAGGAAGGAAGGAAGGAAAGAAGGAAGGAAGGAAAAGAAACCACAAAACAATCAGAAGCATATTACCAACTGGCAGTAGCAAGTCCTCACCTTTAATAATTACTTTATATTTAAATGGGTTAAATTATCTAATAAAAATACAGAGTGGCTGAATGGAGTAAAAAACAAGATCTAATCATATGTTGCCTAAAAAGAGACTCAATTTTCTAGTAAGGATGCACAAAGACCGAAAGTAAAGGGATAGAAAAAGATAGTCCATGCAAATGGAAACCATAAAAGAGCAAGGATAGGTACACTTATATCAGACAAAACTCACCTTAAGTCAAAATTTTAAAAAGAGACAAAGAAGGTCACTAAATATGATAAAGGGAATAATACACCAAGAGGACATAACAATTATAAGTATATATGGACCCAACATCACAGCACCTAAATATATAAAGCTACTATTAAATAATCTGAAGAGAGAGATTACAATACTATAACAGTAGAGGGACCTCAAAATTCTACTTTTAACAATGGAAATATCATCTAGACAGAAAACTCAATAAAAAAAATTAAACTTGCATGAATTTTACAACAAATGAACCAAACAATCATAAACAAATCTTTTTATCCAACAGCAGTAGAATACATATTCTTCTCAAATGGACATGAAACATTCTGCAGATTGATCATATGCTACACCACACACACACACAAATCTTAACAAATTTAAAAGGTTTAAAATTATATTATGAATCTTTCTGGATCTCAAAAGGAATAACTCCCAAACTTATTTCATGAGGCCAACCTTAGCCTGATGGCAAAGCCAGACAAGGTCATAAAAAGAAACAAAAATTATAAGCTAGTATTCTTGATGAACATAAATACAAAAATCTTAAATAAAATAAGACATTAACAAATTGAAGTCAACGACCTATAAAAGAATCATTCATCACGATCAAGTGGGATTTATTCCTGGGATGCAAGGACAGTTCAATATATACAAGTCCATATGTGTGATATACCTCATTAACAAAATGAAAAACAAAAATTACATAATAATTACATAATTAAAAAATCTCAATAGATGCAGAAAAAGCATTTGACAAATTTTATCACCCTTTCATGATAAAAATTCTCAATAGATTTAGTATAGAGGGAATGTACTTCAATACAATAAAGGATATAAATGGCAAACCCATTGTTGTTATCATTTTCAATGAAAATTTGAAAGCTTTTCCTGTAAGATCAGCACCAAGCCAAGAATACCACTGTCACTGCTTCTCTTCAAAAGCGTACTTGAAGTCCTAGCCAGAGCAATTAGAAAAGAAAGCAAATAAAAGGCATCCAAATAGAAGAGGAAGAAATGAAATTATTTCTATTTGCTGACAACATGATTTTATATAGAGAAAATCCTACAGACTCCACAAAAAAACTGTTAGAACTGATAAAAATACAATAAAGTTGCAGGACACAAAATAAACATATAAAAATCAGTAGTTTTTCTATATACTAAAAATGAGCTATTTGAAAGGAAATTAAGGGAAAAAATCTAATTTACAATAGCAACAAAAAATTATTTTATTATTTTATTTTCAGTTCTGGGGTACATGTGTACAGGATGTGCAGGTTTGTTACATTGGTAAATGTGTACCATGTTGGTTTGCTGCACCTATCAACCCATCACCTAGGTATTAAGTCCAGCACGCATTAGCTCTTTTCCCTAATGCTCTACCCCCTTCCTTCCCCCAACAGGCCCCAGTGTGTGTTGTTCCCCTCCCTGTGTCCATGTATTCTCATTGTTCAGCTCCCACTTATAAATGAGAAGATGCAATATTTGGTTCTCTGTTCCTGTGTTAGTTTGCTGAGGAAAATGGCTTCCAGCTTTATCCATTTCCCTGCAAAGGACATGATCACATTTCTTTTTGTGGCTGCATAGTATTCCACAGTGTATATGTACCGTATTTTCTTTATCCAGTCTATCATTGATGAGCATTTGGGTTGATTTCATGTCTTTGCTATTGTGGATATGCTGCAATGAACATGTGTCTTTATAATAGAATGATTTTTATTCCTTTGTATATATACCCAGTAATGAAATTGCTGGGCCAAATGGTATTTCTGGTTCTAGATCTTTGAGGAATCACCACACGGTCTTCCACAATGGTTGAACTAATTTACATTCCCACCAATAGTGTAAAAGAGTTCCTATTTCTCCACAGCTTTGCCAGCATCTATTGTTTCTTGACTTTTTTTTTTCTTTTCTAGATAGAGTCTCACTCTGTTGCCCAGGCTGGAGTGCAGTGGTGGGATTTCAGCTCACTGCAACCTCCACCTCCTGGATTTAAGCAATTCTCTTGCCTCAGCCTCTCAAGTAGTTGGGACTACAGGCATGCACCACCACGCCCAGCTAATTTTTTTGTTTTTAGTAGAGACAGGGTTTCACTATGTTGGCCAGGCTGGTTTCAAACTCCTGGCCTCAGTCAATCCACCTGCCTTGGGCTCCCAAAGTGCTGGGATTACAGACGTAAGCCACTGCACCTGGCTGCTTCTTGACTCTTTAATAATCGCCATGCTGACTGGTGTGAGATAGTATCTCAGTGTGGTTTTGATTTGCATTTCTCTAATAATCAGTGATGTTGAGCTTTCCTTCATATGTTTGTTGGCCATATAAATGTCTTCTTTTGAGAAGTGTCTGTTCATGTCCTTTGTCCATTTTTTAATGGGTTTTTCTTTTTCTTGTAAATTTGTGTGAGTACCTTGTAGATGCTGAATATCAGACCTTTGTCACATGGATAGATGGCAAAAATTTTCTCCCATTCTGTAGGTTGTGTGATCATTCTGATGATAGTTTCTTTCGCTGTGCAGAAGCTCTTTAGTTTAATAAGATCCCATTTTTCAATTTTTGCTTTTGTTGCAATTGATTTTGGCAATTTAATCATAAAATCTTTGCCCATAACTATGTCCTGAATGGTATTGCCTAGACTTTCTTCTGGAGTTTTTACAATTTTGGGTTTTACATTTAGCTCTTTAATCCATCTTGAGTTAATTTTTATATAAGGTATATGGAAGGGGTCCAGTTTCAATTTTCTGCATATGGCTAGCCAGTTCTCCCAGCACTGCTTATCAAATAGGGAGTCCTTTCCCCATTGCTTGTTTTCATCAAGTTTGTTGAAGATCAGATGTAGCAACAAAAATTTAAATACTTAGAAGTAAATGTAACCAAGGAGATAAAAGTCCTCTATACTGAAAATTATGAAAGAGCTATGACAGAAATTGAAATGAATACAAATAAAGATATAACATGATCAAGAATAGTAAGAATTTATATTGCTGAAATGTCCATATTACCCAAAAAATCCACAGATTCAATGCAATTTCCATCAAAATTCTCATATATTTTTCACAGAAATGGAAAAATCAATTCCTAAATTTATATAGGACCACAAATGATTCTGAATACACAAAACAATGTTGAACAAAGAACAAAACAAAAAAATAAAAACTAAGCTGGAGATATCACACTCCCTGATTTTAGAACATATTATAAAGTGACTATAATCACAATAGCATGACACTGTCATAAAACAGACACATTACCCAATGAAACAAAATAAGAGCCCAAAAATCCATGCATCTATGGTCAATGGATTTTTGACAACGGTGTCAAGAACACACAATGCAGAAAGCACAGTCTCCTCAATGGTGTTGAGAAAATTGCAAATCTACATGCAGAAGAATGAAATTGGATCATTTTCTAGCACCATATAAAAATCAACTCAAAATGAATTAAAGTCTTAAATATAAGATCTGAAACTATAAAACTACTAGAAGAAAACATAAGGGGAAAGTTCTAAGACAATGGCTTTGGAAATGAGTTTTTGGAAAGCACCCCCAAAGCACAAGCAACAAAAGCAAAAGACACACACACACACATACACACGTGCATGCACACACACACACACACACACACACACAACTGGGACAGCATCAAACTAAAAAGCTTCTGAAGAGCAAAGGAAGCAACAATGTGAAGAGACAACAAACAGAATGGAAGAAAATATTTGCAAACCATACATCTGATAAGGCTTTAAAATTCAAAATATACAAGGAACTCAAAGAACTAAATAGCAAGAAAACAAATAACCCTGTTTAAAAATAAGCAGAACCTGGAGAGACATTTCTCAAAAGAAGGCATACAAATGGCCAACATGTACATGAAAAAGTGCTCAGCATTACTAATCCACAGAAAAATGCAAATTAAAACCATAATAAGATATGACCTCACAACTATTAGAATGGCTTTTATCAAAAAGAGGAATGATAACTTTTGGTAAGGATGCAGAGAAAGGGGAGTTTTTGTACATTGATGATAGGAATGTAAAGTTGTTGCAGTCATTATAGAAAATGGTATGTAGGTCTCTCAAAAAACTAAAAATAGAACTATGGGC
Organism: Homo sapiens; assembly: GCF_000001405.40. NCBI lineage: Eukaryota > Metazoa > Chordata > Mammalia > Primates > Hominidae > Homo > Homo sapiens. The sequence continues at coordinate 19,108,590 of NC_000006.12, read as the reverse complement.
CAGTAATCTCACTTTTGAGTATATATTAAAGAAATCTGAAGTCAATATATCAAAGAGGTTTCTGCCTTCCCAGGGTTCTTGCAGCATTATTCACATTAACCAAGATATAGAACAAAACTAGATGTCCATGGAAAAATGAATAAATAAAATGTACGTGTGTGTGTGTGTGTGTGTATATATATATATATCTACACACACACACACATATACCCGTGCTAAATGTTCATGGACACATGAATGAAGAAAACCATATGTTCTTTACTAATTTGTCCATGGACATTTAGCTTTGTGGTGTGTGTATATGTATATATACCTATGTATACATATACATATATGTACATATATACATATACATACACATATATGCACTTCGGTATATATCTGGTGAGTGTATATATGTGTATATATGTACATCTATACACACATGGACACATATGTATATGAGTGTATGTGTATATGTACAAATATGTGCACACATATATCCACACAAAGTATATCCATATATACACATATGTACCTATATGCACATACCAGATATACATATATATATAATGGAATACTACTCAGCCTTTAAAAAAGAATGAAGTTCTGTCATTTAAAACAATATGGAGAAACCCAGAAGACAATAGTCTAAGTGAAATAAGCCAGCTGCAGAAAAACCAATACTGTATGATCTTACTTTAATGTGGAATCTAAAAAAGTTGAAATCACAGAAGTAGAAAGCAGAATGATGGTTACCATAGGCTGTGGATGGGGTGGGGTGGGAGGGAGGAAATGAGGAATTGCTGATCTAAGGGTACAGAGTTTCAGACAGAACAATTTTTGAGATCTATTGTATAGCAGTGACTATAGCACATAATAATCGATTGTACATTTCAAAATAACTAAGACAGTAAATTTCAAATGTCTCACCATAAAAATGATGAGTAAGCAAGGTGAAGAATATGTTAACTAGCTTGATTTAAGCATTCCACATTGTATACATCTATCAAGAAATTAATTACATTTTACCCCACAAAGTATACAATGATTTCTCAATGAAACTCATATTAATAATAATAACAGAAAGTAGAATATTAAAGTATCCTACTATTATTTTATTATTGTCTATTTCTCCTTTCAGATCTGTTATATATTTTCATGCTTTATGTTTGATGCATATATACTTACAATGGGTAACCTCCTGAGGAATTGATCACTTTATTATAAAATGACCTTTGTCCATTTTTACAGTTTTTGACTTAAATGTCTATTTTGTCTGATGTGAGTATGCCTGTCCCTGCTCTCTTTTGATTTCCATTTGCATGGAATATCTTCTTCCATCTTTTCAATTTTGGTCTTCGTGTGTTCTTACTAGTAAAGTGAGTCATTTGCAGGCAGCTTATGGTTGGATTTTCTTTTTACATCCATTCATTCACTCTGTGTCTTTTAATTGGAGAACTTAATCTATTTAAATTTAAGAAAACTATGGATAGGTAAGAACTTACTATTGCCATTTTGATAATTGTTTTCTGGTTGTTTTGTAAATTGTTTGTTTCTTTTTTCCTCTCTTGTTGTTTTCCTTTCATGATTTTCTACAGTGGTATACTTGAAATTTTTCTCCTTATTTTTTGTGTATCTAATGTATGTTTTTGCCTTCTGGTTGCTAGGAGGGTTACTAAAATATCTTACAGTTTATATGATTATAACAGGTTATTTTAATTGGTAACAACTTAACTTTGAATTTGACTGTATGCTTATCTTTACCAGTGAATTTTATACTTTTATATGTTTTCATGTTAATTTTTCATTGGAGCTTGAAGAATTCCCTTTATTATTTCTTGTAAGGCAGGCCGAATGGTGATAATTTCCCTTAGCTTTTGTTTCTCCAGGAAAGTCTCTATCTTTCCTTCATGTTTGGAGGACAACTTTGCCAGGTAAAGTATTGTATTCTTGGTTGACACTTTCTTTCTTTCAGTACTTTAAATGTATCATCCTCTTCTCCCTGGCATGTAAGGTTTCTGTTGAGAAATATACTGATAGTCTTACGGAGGTTCCCTTGTGCATCATAAGCCTCTATTCTCTTGCTGTTTTCATAATTTCATCTTTTACTTTGAGTTTGATTATAACATATATTGGTAAAGTCTTCTTTGGATTGAAACTGCTCATTATAGGAATGCAAGTCAAAACCACAATGAGATACCATCTCGTGAATTAGAATGGCAATGATTAAAAAGTCAGGAAACAACAGATGCTGGAGAAGATGTGTAGAAATAGAAATGCTTTTACACTGTTGGTGGGAGTGTAAATTAATTCAACCATTTTGGAAGACAGTGTGGCAATTCCTCAAGAATCTAGAACCAGAAATGCCATTTAACCCAGCAGTCCTATTACTGGGTATATACCCAAAGGATTATAAATCATTCTACTATAAAGACACATGCACACGTATGTTTATTGTGGCACTATTCACAATAGCAAAGACTTGGAAACAACCCAAATGCCCATCAGTGATAGACTGGATAAAGAAAATGTGGCACATATACACCATGGAATACTATGCAGCCATAAAAATGGATGAGTTCGTGTCCATTGCAGGGACATGGATGAAGCTGGAAACTATCATTCTCAGCAAACTAACACAGGAACAGAAAACTAAACACATGTTCTCACTCATAAGTGGGAGTTGAACAATGAGAACACATGGACTCAGAGAGGGGAGCATCACACACTGGAGCCTGTCGGGGGAGGGGAGGGCTAGGTGAGGGATAGCATTAGTAGAAATACCTAATGTAGATGACGGGTTGATGGGTGCAGGAAACCATCATGGCATGTGTATACCTATGTAACAAACCTGCACGTTCTGCACATGTATCCCAGAACTTAAAGTATAATTTAAAAAATAATTAATTAATTAAAAAAAGAAATATTACTGAATCTGTAAATTGTTTTGGACAGTATGGACACATTAATGATATTGAGTCTTCCTATCCATGAGCTTGGGATGTTTTTCCATTTGTTTGTGTCTTGATTTTTTTGAGCAGTGTTTTGTAATTCTCATTGTAGAGATCTTTCATCTCCCTGGTTGGCTGTATTCCTAGAGTTTTTTGTGTGTGTATGTGTGTGGAAATTGTGAATGGAATTGCCTTCCTGATTTGGATCTCAACTCGGCTGTTGTTTGTGTGTAGGAGTGTTAGTGAGTTTTGTACATTGATTTTGGATACTGAAACTTTCCTGCAGTTGTTTATCAGCTTAAGGAGCTTTTTGTCCTAGACTATGGGGTTTTCTAGATATAGAATCATGTCATCTGCAAAGAGGGATAGTTTGACTTCCTCTCTTCCTATTTGGATGCCTCTTATTTCCTTCTCTTTCCTGATTGTTCTGGCTAGGACTTCCAATACTATGTTAAAGAGGAGTGGTGAGAGAGGGTAATCTTGTCTTATGCCAGATTTCAAGGGGACTGCTTCCAGCTTTTGCGCATTCAGTATAATGTTGGCTGTGGGTTTGCCATAGACGGCTCTTATTATTTTGAGGTATGTTCCTTCAATACCTAATTTACTGAGAGTTTTTAACAAGAAGGGATGTTAAATTTTATCAAAAGCCTTTTTAACATCTATTGAGATAATCATGTAGTTTTTGTCTTTAGTTCTGTTTATGTGATGAATCACATTTGTTGAATTGTTGATTTTAAAAATCAATAAATGTGCATCCCAGGGATGAAGCCTATCTGTTTATGGTGGAATAGCTCTTTGATGTACTGCTGGATTTGGCTGTGTATCCATCTGCTCCTCGGCCTTTTTTATGTGTCAACTATTTATTACTGATTTAATTTTGGAGCTCATTATTGGTCTGTTTGGGAATCAATTTCTTCCTGGTTCAGTCTTGAGAGGGTGTATATGTCCAAGAATTTATCAATCTCACCTAGGTTTTCTAGTTTGTGTAAATAAATTTTCTACCCCTTTATCTTTTTCTGTTGTTCCCTTTGGACTCTCATATAATGTGTATATCAGTTTGCTTTAGGATGTCCCATAAATCCCAAAGTATTTTTTTCACTAATTTTTATTCTTTTTGTTTTTCTGACTGGATAATTTGAAATGGATGATCTGTCTTCAAGTTTGCTTATTCTTTCTACTACTTCATTGTGCTGTTTCAATCTCTTTAATTTTTCAGTAGAGTTATTTTATTCTTCTGCTCTAGAATTTCTGCCCTTTTATGATTTATATCTCTCTTGAATTTCTACTTTTGTTAATACATAATTTTCCTGATTTTATTAATTGTGCTTTTTTTGTTGTCTTTTAGCTCACTGAGTTTTTAAAAGACAATTATTTTGACCTCTTTGTCAGGCAATTCATATCCACATTTTTTTGGAGTCAGCTGTTCAGCTATTTTGTTACTCTGATGGTGTCATGTTTCTTTGATTTTTTTATGTTCCTAGAAGCTTTGTGTTACTGTCTTCCTTTCATGTTTCTTGAAGACTTTCATTGCTGCAGTTGAAGGAGCAATCACATCCTCCACTCTAGCTAACTAGCTTATAAAACAAACAAACAAAAAACAAAACAAAACAAAACTTTTATCAGTCAGCCTGGCTAGAGATTCTGGAGGAGGGGGGTCTCTCAGGCCTTTTTCTTCTTCTTCTTTTTTTTTTTTTTTTTGAGACAGAATCTCACTCTGTTGTCCAGGCTGGAGTGCAGTGGCACGATCTTGGCTCACTGAAAGCTCCACCTCCTGGGTTCAAGCAATTCTTCTGCCTCAGCCTCCCTAGTAGCTGGGACTATAGGCGCGTGCCACCACCCCCTTAGCTTAGCTAATTTTTGTATTTTTAGTAGAGATGGGGTTTCATCATGTTGACTAGGATGGTCTCAATCTCTTGACCTCATATTTCCACCCACCTCGACCTCCCAAAGTGCTGGGATTACAGGCATGAGCCACTATGCCCGGACTCTCAGACCTTTATATGAATGTGCCTTTCCCATTTCTCTTGTTCTTTCTCAGTGGTGGTGGTGGTGGGGAGGTGTCTTAGAATTATGTGCTTTCTCTCAGTCCCACAAAGCAGGCTGGACTCTGAGAGCCTTTTGTTTATTTTCCTTAGGGCAGTGACCTGAAGGTTCTTGGCTGTGCACTTTCTCCTGATCCATCAGAGCTGTCTGCTAATTTATGTGTCCTATGTGTGAAAGCTCACATGCAATCTGTGGTGGTTCATGTGTGCTCTCCATGGAGGGAGCACATACATGTTGATGTCTATGGTGTGCTCAGGATGCCAGCCACATCAAGTGGTGCATGCAGAGTGCTGAGGATATATGTCAGCTTGTTGGATGTTCACAGTTGAGACACCCCATGAGACTCGCGTTTGGAGATCCAGGCAGAGTCTTCAACCCAGCCAGTAGGATCTGCAGCTTGTTGAGATTTGTGTGCCAGCTGCCACTAAGCCTCTCCTCTTGTCCCTGCTCCTAGCTGCCCCTAGATGTTTTTGCTATGCTTATTCCCTGTGTTTTGGGTGGGGTGAAACACAAGTGAGCCTCCTGGATGGCATCCCAGAAGGCTGGGGAAGCCAGGCACTCATTTGATCTCCCTTTTTCCCACTAGGAGAAATCACAGGCTGAGTGAATCTCTTTGCATTGAGCTATGCTGCGCTTGGGGAGGGATAATATGGGTAAAGTGAAGCTATTCTTACTCCCCTTAGTGTATTTATTCTTCAGTTTTTTTTTGTTTGTTTTGTTTTTGCTTCATGGAGGTGCTGGAACATTTTAACTAAATGACTGGGCTACCATAAAAGCATTGCTATCATGTGTAGTTGTTAAAATCAGTGTTTCTGGGTGGGGGTTGGGGGTGGAGGGAGAGTTGAAGGCTGAAACTTCCCCTTCTATCATCTTGACATCCCAAATAGGACCTTCACTGCAAGAAATTGGTTTCTGTCTTTCTTTTTATAATTTGTATTGTTTATCTTTTAAACATTAATTCAACAATCATCTCTCTGTTCTCTGTGTCTTAAGTGGCCTTCCCAAGTTACTTTTATCATGCCATATAGTTTATTTACTTTGCAGCATATGTGACAATGAAAATTATTTTTTGTTTTCATTGCTGTTTATTTCTTCATTATTTATTTCTGCCATTGTAATAAGGTCTTGGAAATTTTATCTATGTTGTTATTTTTGTAGCCCCCAGAACAATACGTGGCCCAGAGTAGGTGCTCTCTGAATAATTATTGAATAAATAAAATTTTCAAAGGATTCTAAAGTTTTCTTCAAAGCTCCAAAAAGTTCTAATTAGTCTATTATTTTGCTGAAATAAAATCTAATTTCTCAAATATTAGCATTTGTAATAAAAATGATGTATTCTTCAGCTTTATGTTTTGATTATATATGTAGTATAGCCAATTACATTTTATTGCAAGTCTAAAGCAGTTCTGTTATATCCCAGATCAAATAGGCTTTATGAGCCTTCCAGGGAGCTTAAACTGTATTTATTACATTGTTTCTGCATGAAAATGTGATTTTGTGATTGAAGTAACAATAATTTTTACTTTCCAACAAACTTTTACTTTGTTTACTTTTTGTTAAAAAAGTAATTTTTTACATTGATAACAGTTGACCTTTGAGTTCTGAGCAAGCATTAAACCTTTGGGTTGTAAACCACGTTTGCATTAAAAGCACACTAATACTCATGCAGCAACTATACTAAGTCTTTTTTTCAGAAGTGAGTAGGAATGTAAATGTCAAATTGGTAACTGTAGAACTATATATGAAACAAAGAAGGTATATGATATATAACTTCTGCCTTTGTTAGGTATTTGTTTCTGCTGTGGTCACTGGATTTGAGTGCAGTACCCCACAGTATTGGATAGTCATTAAGACAGTCCTTACATGGGTCTCTATAAAAACACCATTGAATAAGAAAATACTTATTGGTGCATATTTACCTATTGTTTAGAAAAAAGTTGGAATGGGTTGCATCCCACTCACTTTCTTAAAACTCATCTGAGAGATAATGTAGAAAAGGTATTACCTTCTACACCAAAATGTTTTGTTTGTATTATGTATTCATATTTTTCTTTGATATTTATTTAACTTCTTTTTGTGAGATTAATAGAGGCCATATTCTTTACTATTTAGCCAAACTATTTTTTACTTCCTTAAGTAATTATTTCATTTAAGAGGTTTAATTTTTTAAAAAATGAATAAGACTTTAACATATTTTTCTGGCCAGGAGTTAATATATAATTTACTGAAACACGAGTAATATCCAAATTTCTGTATTAATAGTCAGGAGCTCAAAGTGTTATTCCAATAGAAAATTATACATATTTGGTAGCTGTTATGGAAGAATTTAAAATACTTCTATGTCCATATATCAGCAAAACTATACATGTTTCTCTTAAATGAATTTTATTTTCCTGAAGTTTAGAAAAATAACTTCATCCTTAAAAATGTTGGAAAAGAAAGAAAATGAGTTAAAAATGTGTTGTGATATTTGAATGTTGCAAACTAAGATCTCTGTGTGTGTTTGTATATTCCTCATATTCTTGAAATACAGTTTTTGTCTTCTAAGGCTAACATTAGGCATGAAAAACTTCCCATAACAGGCTGCGTTGGTCAATGTGTCCCTGGAAGAAGGTATTTTGTATCTCAGAGGTAGCATAAGCACCATTAGATGTGGCGTTGCCATGGTAACTGCTCTCTTTTTTTAAATTGAATGGCATGGTAAGTAGTCTTATAAAACCCGCCAACCCATAACTTGCTGGTGCCCCAAGGCAGCTTTAACTTACTTAAGCGCCTTCTCTTTGTCTTTATATTTTTAATCTAAGGGATTCAGGTGTTTGACTATACCAGTTTTATGAGTCTAATATGCTTTGGAACTTAAATCCTTGGTTTGTTGACCACAGATTATTTCTAAACAGGAGCTCAATGCAGTTATCATATCAAGGAAAGAATACAAAATTTCCAGTGCAAAAAGATGAAAAGCAAACTTGTACATAAGGCCATGTCTATAAAACACAAACTGAGTAAGATGCCAATATTTGATCATCTGATTTCACCAGAACCTAACTACACATGGCAAAGCGCAAATAAATCATTATAGAAATGAGATCCACAAAAATACTGTGCTAAAATATGTCTTGGGCAACAAGTACAAATAGCTTAGTTTAAATATAAATTCTCCTGGGATGCAAGAGTCCTTTTTATTTTTTTGTTTGGACTCAAGACACACCTCTTCAAATATTTATACCCTGCTGCAGAGATGTTGCATGGAGTCAAATAAAATCTATTGTAAATTCCTCTTCCTCTACTTTGTTTCCTAGAGACACTAATTCTTTTGACTATTTTGCTAGTCATTTATGTTTAAACTGTTAATAAATCTATTTAAATTAAAAATTGAATATATAAGAATTGATAGTGCTCTGTAGGAAAATAGGGCTCTTATAATGTGTCCTATTTGTGGAAAAGAGGGCATTGTAATATTGATGAAAAGATTATTCCAACCATATTAATTTAGTATCAATAAATATTATCTTCCTACTGAGTAGCACTGTCATTTTCCAAAAGACTGTGTGGGTAAGTACAATTAGAAATAACTGTAAGTTTATAATGGGTACTAATGCTTAAGCATACCAAAGAAACCCAAGTTGAGAGTTTAGAATTTACGTTGCCCAGCTTCCTGAAAACATGTTTTTATATATTCTTTCAGTGCTTATAATTTTCTTTTTAAGAGAGGGTCTCACTCTGTCACCCAGGCCAGAGTGCAATGGTGCAGTCATAGCTCACTGCAGCCTCAAACTCCCAGGCTCAGGTGATATGCCCACCTCAACCTCCCAAGTAGCTGGGACCATAGGTGTGTGACACTACGGTTGGCTAATTTTTGTTATTTTTTTGTAGAGACAGGATCTCCCTATATTGTCTAGGCTGGTATAGAACTGGGCTCAAGTGATCCACCTACCTCGACCTCAGAAAGTGGCTTTTAAATTTTGAGGCAACTCAAATATGGATGATGATTGTTTTCTCAAATTTGCTAGCATCTTTTTATAAGGTGAATAATTTAATTTACATATAGACAATTAATAAAGACCATAGTAAAGTGGGTAATTATGGCAGCTTACTTTGCAGGAAATTCCTCTACCTAAGTCAGAAAAAGCCCACAGGAAATAAAGGTAGTGGGACAAGGAGTTAAGTATGACAATAAAATGTATCCACAGTATTTTTTTGGAAGAATCACAACTCATTGAAATCAGAGTAAAGAGAACTCCAGGGGAGAGATGTTGGGAGACACTCCTCCTTGGGTATCTTTTGTTCCTGTTTTCTTGCTGAATATGCAAAGAATTCAAGTCTCTAACGACTCTTACCTGGTCATTTTTCAGTGTTGTGTTTGTAGCAAGCAACCTTGAGGGATAAGATAATGTGTTCCTCTGGAACAAAGAGCAGGCTTGCTTACTGCTTGCTATAAAAACAGCAGGTTTCCAATCTAAGTGTTCCTTGGCTGTAAGACAAAGCCACTGCATCAACCTGGACTCTATGTTTCACCCCTATGGGACATGGGGATCAAGGGGGAACTGATGCAAAGACGCTGGTGCTTGTGTTGCTTGCTTTGCCATGATTAATAAAGTCCTTTGTCTCTGATTCAGGAGTCTTGTGTCTTCTACTAGCATTCCTGAAGCAGCAACAGGCTTACTTATTAACTTATAAGTAGGGTAAAATCCCTGACCAGATAGGAGAAAGCTGCATTAGCTTACTCCATCATCCTTTTGGGGATGGAATTAATGGACCACCAAAACTGCAACCTGATTCTTGCCAGAAAAGAGAGCTATGATTTAATTAATCTAAATCTGAAGCCATTACCTTGGTAGATGTTCCATGAACAAGTGAAACGTTTTTTAGAAGCACATTCAAAAGTTGTGTGAGTGGGAGAGGGATAATTTACTCAGAGGTATGTATTATTAGTCCCTTAAATAAGATGAGGGCTTTTTGTTCCCTTCCCAGTAGCAGAAAACTTTTAAACTAACATTATTCTGAACATTTGGAATAAAATTTTGCACCTTTGACCACTTATGTATTTACATGGTATAAAGTAATTTTGAATCCATTATAAGCAGAATCTTGGCATGATCTACAGATTTCTAGCAAAAGTGGCATTTGGGTCCTAACACTGACCTAATAACTGAGTTGTTAGGCAACTCAATTATCAAGTTAAAATGTCAAATCTATCCCTTCACAGATACCTGCTTGGGCATAACTATTTGTATTCAACTGGTAACAGACTAACTTCACTTTTGATCCTATCGGAGTAGACAGTCTGGAATGTGGTGATACTCTGTAGCTATCAAATCTGCAGGTGAGAGAAATAATATTTATGAAGATAATCTGAAGAACATGCAGTCCATCTATTTCTCTAAACAGTTATTTCTCAACCTTTTGCTTTTCAAATTGCTCACTTATGGAGCATTTTTAGACATTTTTCTCCTTATCACCTTCCTGCTCCTAGAGAAACTTGAATATCAGAGATAAGTGGTATATATATTTATGTACTGTGGCTTTTTAGAAGTCTACAAGCTATTTTAATATCTAAGATTTTCTGGCCTCCTAAGAACAAATAATCATCTGCTTTTGGATGGTATTGCCCATGTTGAGAATTCATGCTCCAAGCGCTCTGAAATCTATCCCTGGACTGATGGAATATTTCTCTGCCTACACTCCAGAGTAGGCAGACTCCCAGCAATTTCTTTTTTGCTTAACTGTCCTGTACTTTGGATTAATATGTATATTTAGTGATGCTATAAGAAATAGCACCAATAAACTACTGTAAGGCTACTGATAAATTGCTAATTGGAGGCAACATAGCATAGTGATTACAAGTTCTACCTGACTACTTGAATTTAATCTTGACATTACCACTTACTAGCTATGTAACCTTGGACCTATTATATATCATCTCTCTAAGTCTCAATTTGCTCATATGTAAAATGAGAATAATAATAGTACTCACACCATAGGATGATAAGAATTAAGGATAAAACAAACATAAACTGCCTGACCCAGAATAAATGTTCAGCAATATTAGCTCTTAGATATACATACAGTAATGCAGGGTGCTCTCCACAAATATTCTAAACGGAATGTTTTTTAGCCAGGAGTAGTGGCTTGTATCTGTAATCTCAACATTTTGGGAGGCTGAGGTGGAAGGATCACTTGATGCCAGAAGTTTGAGACCAGCCTGAACAACATAGTGAGACCCTGTCTCTCCAAAAAAAATAAAAAATAAAAAATAAAAGCTTAGAACTTAGCCTGGTGTGGTGCGGTGTATATACTGCCTGTAGTCCCAGCTACTCAAGAGGCTGAGTTGGGTGGATTGCTTGAGCCCAGGAGATTGAGGCTACAAGGCTACAGTGAGCCATGATCACACCACTGAACTCCAGCCTGGATAATAGAGCAAGCCCTATTTCAAAAACAAAAACAAAAACAAAAAAACCTAAAATCAAAAATAATGTTTTCACTTGTCATACTGAGTATGTTTACAGTGTCATACATAGTTGAGTAATAGATTTTATGTTAGGAACACTAGAAATAGACATTGAGGCTAGTGATTTATCAGTTTTCTTTCTTTGTACCATCTGAAAGTTTTAAGTCCAATTTGTCTCCTTCCGTTAGCAAGTATATAGTAATTCGTAGCATATATCATAGCATATATATATTTACTTCTGATATCTAATTATGTCCTTACTCTCATTTCCCTTTCTTGTTTACCAGATGTACAGGCCTGGATTTGAGTCCTTTATTCATTACTCATTAACTGGTTAGGTTAATCTTAGTGGGGTCCTTTTTTGTTTTTGTTTTTTTTGAGACAGAGTCTCGCTCTGTCGCCCAGGCTGGAGTGCAGTGGCACGATCTCGGCTCACTGCAAGCTCCGCCTCCCGGGTTCACGCCATTCTCCTGCCTCAGCCTCCCAAGTAGCTGGGACTACAGGCGCCCACCACCATGCCTGGCTGATTTTGTTTGTTTGTTTTTGTATTTTTAGTAGAGACGGGGTTTCACCGCGTTAGGCAGGATGGTCTCGATCTCCTGACCTCGTGATCCGCCCACCTCGGCCTCCCAATGTGCTGGGATTACAGGCGTGAGCCACTGTGCCCAGCCTCTTAGTTGTGTTCTTAAGCCTCTTTAACATCCCACTTATATAAAATAGGGTCAATAGTAGGACCTAATTAATAGGATTGTTTTGAGAAAAGTACACAGTACCTAAAAAGTAATAAGAATTCAATATATGCTAGTTACTTTTACTATTTATGTTATTTTGTCATATTTAAAAAATCTGTAAACCACTGTAAATATTTTTTTCTGTAAAAAAAAAAGAATAAATAAAAATATACTTAGAATGTTGCCATGACAGCAGTGTCTTTTCTACCAGGGTTTGGGTCTTCAGGTATTTCCTCATACTATTACTTAAGCCTTCTTGACTAGGAAAGGAAAATGAAGTTCACCCAGCACCGCTCTGGTCATCTCTGTAGACTCATCTTCAAGTCCCTAGTTGGGACACTGGCTTATGGTCTGTGGATGAATGAGAATGAGAATGAGAATTTTGCAAGTATGATGACTGCTTTAGTAGGTCAAGCCCTGGAACTAAATTTAGATCTTTAGACACTTTCCTTGAAGGTCAATGAAGCTTTGCTCATGATGCTAAGCAAAGTAACTTGTACATCCTCATGCCTGTCTCACATCTGCTAATAAAAATAGTTGTCTTTTTTAGTAGCTGACATCTAGGGCTTGTACTAATATATTTAACAATCCTCAGCCTAGATGACAGTCCTAGCTTCTTTACTTCACTTCTGTGGCCTTGAGCAGGTTATTTTATCTCCTAGGTTTGTCTTCCATAAAATGGAGATAATATTCAGACGTGCTATTGAGAAAGAAGTGAACTTATATATAAATATGTAAAGCTTGTGCCATGCCTATTGTAGATACTTTGTCAATGTAAATTTGATTCGTTTGCCTTTTCTTGGTAGGGGATCAGGGTTTTCAGGTTGATTGTCAGGTTAAGAATAGAAAAAGTAAAGCATTTCTTACTTTAAGTCCCTTATAGTGCTCATTTAGCCTGGTAAAAATAGACCTCAACACAAAGCACAAGGGCAGAATCCTCTCAACACAATAAAGAATTTCTTGCTTTTCTTTTTCAGAGGAGTTTGGCTGCACATGGATGAAATTAATGGGGGTAGATATGAATGGAGGAAGGGGAAGGGGATGTTTTTTTTTTCTCCTCCTTTAGTGTTGGTGTCACGGGGAATGCAATTTCTGAGACCCTGCGTGGTAGTCATAATTCTAAAATGATTCTCAAGGACCCATTCTTGTACAATTCCCTCCCTTTAACTGTAAGAGGAACCCTTGGATATGAAAGGACATCACTTCTGTTAAGTTACACAGCAAAAAAGATCTTGCAGATGTAATTTGGGATGCTAATGAGTTGACTCTAAGTTAATCAAAAGGGAGATGATTTGGATGGGCCCAACCTAATCACAGGAGCCCCTTAAATCTGGGTCTAGAGGTCAAAGACAAAGTTAAAGACTTGAAACATGACAGGATTTGACTTGGCACAACAACTGGAATAGAAAGGGGGCCATATGGTAAGGGTGGCCTCTAGGAGCTGAGAGCAGCCCCCCACTGACAGCTAGCAAAGTAACCAGGACCTCAGTTTTATAACTGCAAGAAACTGAATTCTGCCAAAAACGATAATGAATTTAGAAGTCAGTTTTTCCCCAGAGTCTCCAGCCAAGAACTCAGTCTGGTTGACACCATCATTTCAGACTTATGAGACCCTGAGCAGAGAAACCAGCCTTGCCACGTCCAGACTTCTTACCTATGGAAACTGTGAGATAATAAATTTGTACTGTATTAACTTGATAGGTTTGTGGTAATTTATTGCACAGAAAATAGAAAACTAATGTGCCCTGGTGCACTATATATTTACTCCTGATAATAGTTTTTCTATTAAATAAATAAATATGGCAAAAACTTAAATAGTAAAAGTAACTAGCATTTATTGAATTCTTATTACTTGTTAGGTACTGTGTACTTTCCTCAAAACAATCCTATTAATTAGGTCCTACTATTGACCCTATTTTATATAAGTGGGATGTTAAGGAGGCTTAAGAACTCAACTAAGATTAACCAGTTAATGAGTAATGAATGAAGGACTCAAATCCAGGTCTGTACATCCATGCTAAATAAGAAAGGGAAATGAGAGTAAGGACATAATTAGATATCAGGAGGAAATATATATGCTATGAGTGAATAGTTTTTATTATATTTATTGTATTTCTTTTAATAGTTTTTCTATTAAAAGAACCGTGATATAGTACGTTTTGCTTGTGCTTTAAGTCTTACCCTCAATTGCTTAGCTTATAATAGCTTACAGAGAAGCCCAAGGAAGCACCTGGGAAGAGCCTGAAACTCCATTCCACCTGTTTCAGCAGTAGCTTCATCGCTGTTAGACATTATCCTCTTGAGCTACCAGCCCTTCAGATTTAGCAACTTTATCCTACATACAGCTTGGGAATGAGGTCGTGGTAGCTCCTCATTGGCGTGGCCCTAATTCATGATTCAAACATATCAGGGTTTTCTGCAGTAGTCAGTTCAAAAGTGTGATTCTGTATGATTCATAACATGCTCATTTATTTCTTTTGGGTCTTTTAATGTTCTTATTCCTTCATTATTATTATTTGAATCCTCCTAGATTCCAAAGTCCTGGGATGAAGGACTTTTTTCTTCCTTTTGATCTTCTACAATACTTATTATTGTTTGCAAACTAGATAGTCAAATATTGATTAAAAGAACCATGATATAATAAGTTTTGCTTGTGCGTTAAGTCCTACTCTCAATTAGTAAGCATTTTCTGATCTAGCATTCACCTGAAAGATAGAAAGGAGATGGAATCTTATTAATAATAAACCACCAGAACGGAGCCAAATGACACAACAGGAGTGGAAGCTCTTCTTTCTGGCAGAGAAGAGGAAGTCCATATGCTCAGAACTGCCAAGGAGTGAGAGCAGAAATGGGCTAGGGTAGTTATCAAGGAATTAATTCACATACTGTCTATGAAACAACTGAGCCACTAATGTCTTGGCACCCCAGACCCACTTCCCCGTGTGAATCACAGCCATTTTAATCCTGTGATACAAGCAGAGAGCTGCTATTAAGGAAATGCAACAGTCTGCCAGAGGAGAACTAGAAATATAGGTGCTGATACATGAAAAAGTACAGCAGAGTCTAATGTAAACCTTCCAACAGACAAGATATTTTAAACGAAATACAGATCTGACCAAGAGGGGAAAATGATATGTTCCCAGAGTAATGGATGACATCTACATGCCAGAGTAAGTCCATCCATATTGGCTGGACCCTAAACAAACTGACTGGGCCCTTTTGATACATACTAAAGTCAGTCATGCTACAATGCACACTTTACCCATGTAGACAAAGCTTGCAGTCATCCCACTATTTCAAGGGAGAATAATAGAAAAACAGACCACAAGTTGCAGAGGCAAACCACATCAGTTACCTGCTAATATAAGTTCAACTGATATTAGGTTCTAAACTGGAAGCCAGCCATGGTGGTTCACATCTGTAATCCCAGCACTTTGGGAGGCCAAGGCGGGAGGATCACTTGAGTGCACATGAGTTCAAGACCAGCCTGGGCAACATAGCAAGACCCTGTCTATAAAAGTTTTGGGTTTTTGTTGTTGTTTTTAAATTAGCCAGGTATGGTGGTACACACTTGTAGTCCTAGCTACTTGGGAAGCTGAGATGGGACGATCACTTGAGCCCGGGAGTTTGAGGCTGCAGGGAGCTGTGATCAGTCCACTGTACTCCAGCCTGGGTGACACTCCAGCTTGTCTCTAAAAAATAAATAAAATAAAGAACCCTTCTAAACCATGTACTGTGTGATATTCATTGTAAGTGAATACCAAAAGATGGGAGCTATTTGTGAATGTTGGAACTAAGAAGGCCTAACAGATGCAGATGGAGTCATAGTATGAGCTCAAGTACAAAGATGGAAACAGCATGGCACATTGGAGACAGACTCATCCACCATATCCAAATTACTTAGTGGTTCATGAACAACTGTGAGTGGATAATCAAGAATCACCAGATACATGTGTAGAAGCAGCAACAAGGGGCCTTATAAAAAGAAACTTGATTCTGTAAAGAAATAGGTAATCAGGAAGAAAAGAAAACTTAAACATGATCATTTCAGTATTCTCAGAGAGATTTGAGAAGCCATTATATCCAGAATTGAATAAGATAAAAGAACCAGAACCGGTTCTTAGAAATGCATAAGATTGTCAAAATAAAACATTGAATAGGATAATTGAATAATAACTTGGACACAAATTGTTAAAGTTGGTGATATGAACTATTCATAAATATCTCTCCCTACCCTTATATATAAGAATGTAAAGAAAAAGACAAAGAAATTTTTAAAATGGGTGAAAATATTGAGCTGTGAATAATATTTATTAAAATAAAGTGTTCAGAAAAAAGGTAAAACATATTTGAAGATGTAACAGGAAAATTTCTTTGGGCAGAGTAAAGATTCACATCTTCAGATTTGAAAGGAGCTGTAAAGTATCTGTTTATTTCTTTATTCAACAATTATTTGAGCTCAGTATTATTTAGAATTTTGTGGTTATGAAAGTATCAAAAAGGGCTAGGTGCAGTGGCTCCTGCCTGTAATCCCAGCCCTTTGGGAGGCCGAGGCAGGCAGATCACGAGGTCAAGAGATCGAGACCATTCAGGTCAACATGGTGAAACCCCGTCTCTACTAAAAATTCAAAAATTAGCTAGCGTGGTGGCGGGCACCTGTAGTCCCAGCTACTTGGGAGGCTGAAGTAGGAGAATCACTTGAACCCTGGAGGCGGAGGTTGCAGTGAGCTGAGATTGTACCACTGCACTCCAGCCTGGTGACAGAACAAGTCTCCAAAAAAACAAAACAACAACAAAAAAAAAAAAAAAAAAAAGAAAAAGAAAAAAAGAAAAGAAAAAGAAAAGGAATTGTGTGAAAAATACGTGGTAGGCAGTGTTTTAAAATGCCTCCCAGGAATCCCACCCACTGTGTACATGCCCTATGGCATCTCTTCTTCTTAAATATAGAGAGGGTCCCCAATTCCCATACTAGGTTACGTTACATGGCAAAGATAAGGGATGTTTTCAGATAGAATTAATGTCCCCAATCAGTTTGACTTTGAGTTAATTGAAAGGGAGATTCTTCTAGGTGTGCCTGACCTCATCAAGCAAGCCCTTTAAAAAGCCTTCTTGGGCTCAGAGACGGGAAGAAGAGATTCTCTTTCTATGGCTGGCTTTGAAAAAGCAAGCTTCCATAAATTCTACAGCTTCAAGGAAGTGAATTCTGCCAAAAACGTGAGAAAGTGCGGAAGTCGATGCTTCCCTAGCCGTTTGAGAATGCAGCTTAGTAAACACCTTGATTTTAACCTTGCGAGACTCTGTGCTATGGATTCAGCTGGCCTTTCCTGGACTTCTGACCTTCACAAACTGTGATATAATAAATGAGTATTATTTTAAACAGTTAAATTTGTGGTAATTTGTTAAGCTGTAATAGAAATTTAATGTATCTACATAAATTATGGTGAAACTTCAGAACACTGTGTGTAAAAAAAAATTTCTTACAGCTTTCAAAGAAAATTTTTAAAGTTATAAAAATCAAAATAACTTTAAACTTTTCATTAACAACACCATATTCTAGAAAACAATGTAACAACTCCCTCCATGTTCTGAGAGAAAATGATTTGGAGCCAAACAATTAATAAAGTCAGAGTGAAATAAAGACATTTTCTGACATGTAGACTGTGAAAGTTCACTGTCCATATGGCATGATTTTGAGAAAGTGATAGAATATTTTTTTAAAGAATGAATTTGGCTTTCACTCTTGAAATAATCTCCTTACAGGGGTACATATGAATATGTGCCAGATATCTCACTTGGATCTGGATGACATATTTGCAATATCTTAGTATTTTAAATGCTGTTTATTGTTTTTTACATTTTTTACTGAGGTAGAATATATGTGGTCAAATGAGTGTCAAGTTCACTAATCTTTATGAGGTTTGATCAAGTTTTAAAGATGTACACACCTAAGTAATAACTACCAAGATGAAAATATATAACATTTCCAGCACCCAAAAGTAGTCTTTATGCGCCTTTCCTGTCACATCCTTCCATTCTCAAAATGGTAATCACCATTCACACTTCCTTCTCCATTCATTAGTTTTGCCAGTTCTTAAACTTCATCTAAATGTAATCCAATGGTGTGTATTATTTTGTGTCTAACTTCTGCCATTGTGAGAGTCATCCTTGTCATTGTGTTTACCAGTAGTTCATTTTCTTTTCATTGCTGTGTAATATTTCTTTACATGATATAATTTAGCCATTTTTGTTGTTGGACATTGGACTTGGTTTTGGTTCTTGGTTGTAATAAATGAATCTGTTATGGACATCCTTCCACAATATTTTGGTGGATGTGTGCACTCATTTGTGTCTGGGCAAATACCTAGGAATGGGATTGCTAGGACATAGGGTAGTAGATGTTTTTATTGTTTTTAACATTTACACTCAATTTGCAGAGGAAATATTGAAGGCTCATATATAGTTATAAGCTAATAAAAATAAGAAAATTATTGGCAATTTGAAAGCAATGTTAAGACTGAGAAGTAAGATCTATAGGGAAAGAAGTAAGACTCCAGCTTATTTCTTTACATCCACTAAGCTGTAACCAGGGTGAACTTTCAGAAGCCTTATTCTGATCATGATTTGATCAGAATTAAGTGACTTTCCCTTGATCTTAGGATAAAGGCAAAACTCCTTTATAAACCCTGCAAAGCTTCAAATGGCCAGTCGATATTTATCTTTTCTTTCTTATATCTCTGCAGTTCTTAACTTTCTCCATTTGAGTCCCACTGACACTCACCATTACTTCTCTGCCACAGGGTCTTTGCACAAGCTGTTCCTCTGCTTAGAAAGCCTTTGTTACAATTTTCCACATAGATAAATCCTACTCATTGGTCAGATTTCTTATCAAGGGTGGTCTCTTCCGAGAAACTATCCCTGACCTCCTTAATATAAATTCTCATAACTTATCTCATAATGATTTTATTTTGGGCCACACTTATTATAATTTATTTTGTTTTGTTATTATTGATCACCCTTTTCATTAAGTGGTGATTTTCACTATGGCAGGGTTTATGTCTGTTTTTACTCATTTTATTGCTAGAACCTAGTGCAGCATTTTGTCAATGTGGACACTCAATATTATTCAGCAGAAGAAAGAATCTTTTATGATTTTCAATGTTGAAATCTCAAATTGAAGGAGTAGTATCATTTAAAATTATGAAGGCAATCACTTGAAAAACTGAAAATACTGTAAATCAGAATGAAAACAGAAGAAGACTCTAGTAAGGGAACTAAATTCCTCCTTTGTAGAATGGAGTGTGCATAAGCTATCTAAAGCCCAGTACTTATAGTGACAAACACTAGAACTAAAATTAGAAATATTTAAATGTAATTGTCTCTGGGAAATGAGACTGAGGCTGAGGAATGGAGATTGGGAAGGTGAATTTCTAAGTTTTACCCTTATTTTTAATTTATTTTATTACATTTATTATAACATATATCAGAAAGATGAAACTCAAGGTCACAATACATGCCCAGTTTTAGAAAACTTTGGAAGACTGGAAGACCTAATTTGTATATCTGCTCCTGTGCCACAGACTGGGTATAAGGTATGGCACATGTAAATAGGTATTTGAGATTGCTGACAAAATTACTAGATATATGATAAGCTCAAGGCTTTTGGGATAAAGTTATGCCAATGGGAGCCACAAACTCATTTGAAGACTATCAATGGTAACAACATATTTTGGGAATTGACTTGTAAAAGGTTGAAGTTCACTGGAATTAGTTCAAGCAGTCAGGGATTAGTACAAAATTTTAACACCCTGGGTGGTCACAGCACAGGTGGTAGCAATACCAAACCAAATTAATCACATACAATGACAGAGTATCATAGAGGGGAACAAAATGTTAATCACTATATAGGTTTCAGATATAAGATCTCAAGAACTGAACTGGAGCAAATATTTCTAACCCAATTGGTGAATTCAAGCTAAGGATTAGTACTATCAGGAGAAAAATTAGTAGTAGGATGTGGGGACATGGGGTCAGGATGATCCGAATTAATTCCGGTACACTGTAACATACTGCTTCAGTGACTCCCTTTAGAAACCAGGACCTTGCCTTCTGGGCTGTATCACTGAACATCTCCAGTATGTAGTCTGTCCTCCAAGTTCCAACACAAAGCTAATTCCTTTTTTGAAGCTTTTCTGTTTCCCACAGCCAGAAACAGTTCCTCTCTCCCTTATCTCCCGAAGCATTTTTTCCAACTTTCTTACTGCATTTAGCACTTTATACTATGTATTCTGGTTCTGTATGTGCATCCCTTACTTCTTCCATTAATCTGAGAGGTCATAAAAATTACATAATTTGCATTTACCACAGGGCTTGGCCATGGACTTGCATATCATTGCTGAGAGAAGTCTCAACAGCAGCTTAAGTACTATTGAAGACCTCAAGATGACAAATTTTCTCCATCACTTCTAAGGCTGAATTGTCATATCCAATGTGCTTTATGACTATGCTTTGGTGAGTGTCACAGAATTTAGAATTTGTACTATATATATGCACTAAATATATACTATTATTTCCATTATATTATTTAAGGGAGTGGAGAAGGTTTTTGTCAGTGTTAACAAGCACTGGGCATCTTCCTATATCAAATATACGTGTTAGAATAGCAGAGGTTGGTTTTCATTAATAAGAACTGAGAAGATATTTGAATATTTGTTTTTAATAATTATAATGATTTGTGCAAGCTGCATAGCTTAAGCTAATTTCTAAGATTACATCGCTTAAATTCTTATAGAAGTTATAATATTCTCCTACAAAGACAAACTAACACTCTACATATTCATTGTCTATAAACCTAAAATAGTAATGAAATGTCTTAGGAAATAGAGACAAAATTCATGCTACATTCAAAGCAAAACATTTTCTGTGATTTTAAGCATGTGCAAAGAGATTCTTAGCAGCCTGTACATTGAAGTTGTGATTTCTAAGTTATGTTCCAAGGAATTCCTTTTCTTATTTTCTCCCAGGGCTATCTTTGTTTTTTGTATTATTATGGATTAGATTTGTTTGGAACATAAAAAAACAGAATTGATCTTCCCTCCTTGAATAATGCAGAAGATAATATATGTAGGAAACTTCTTCCAAATCATGTCTGAGTATATACCTTTGAATTTTACTTGAAAACATGTCATTCCATTCAAAACTCTGAATTAAGATGCACTATTTTTTGCTGAAGGCTATTTTAAATTAGGCTAATAAATTGCTACTCTCTGCCTTGCATGATAATGCATTACATTATCTATTGATGTACATGTATTGTTTGACTCTAATGGTGTGGAAATTAAATGTTAGACATGAGCCAGATGTTCCTATAGATGAATATGAAGTATGACTCTGGCATAGTTATGTCTAATCAGGACAGAGAGGAAGAATGCAATAACCAAACGATAATAATAACCACCCAAGAATGCCCTGATATTGGTCTCCAGTAAGAACTCACACCATGCAAGCCTAGATCCTTAGTCCCTACCTTTGAGGAGTGTTCTAAATGTCAGCAGTATTTGCACCTGTTCATGAGGAAAGCGATGTTCTTTCCTAAAATACAGAATAAAATAAAGTTGTGAATATACCACTATTTGGAGGGGTGTCCAGAGACAGTAAATATATGTCATCTTTACTTAGCAAACATGAGCAGCTTAATTTGGCACCTCCACAGGACCATGAGATTCCACGGGTCATTCCTCTGCTCTGCGCAGTTCACAGCAGGGTGGGAGGAATATGTGACTTGGGGGAAGGGAAATGGCAAACAAATAGGCCTTACGGTGAATTTTAATGAAGATTCCCTGCTGGCTTTAGCCCCATTGGGAAAAAGAAAAAAAGAAAGAAAAAGAAACCCATAATCTCCTATTTGAGGTTAAGTTACAAATGGGATAATGATTCAAATAGTAGCAACATCTCACAAGAATGAGGTGGGGTTAGGAGGGTATATAGGATGTTTGCTACTGCTGCTGCTTCTACTAGTGCTAACTAGATTACTAATAATATGTAGCTATATCTTTGAAAATAATCAGAGAGATGGTGATAGAAGACAAATACATCGCATCATCATCCACTCAGTGAGAAATGGCTTTTGCAGATTTGTGCTGATGGATCTAAGGTGTGCACCTCTGGAGGCTTTGAGGTGGCTATACTTCAGTTGTGGATAAAGAGGTGAAGAAGGACATCTATGGTGATGCTCAGTAATATCTGCGAAGAACTGTGGAGACAGACAAATAGTCAAAGGTGAGGTCAGTGCTTGCAAGTATCTTCTTTTAAAAGAGTTGCCGAATACCAAGAGGAACATCATGGGAAAAATGCAACATGAAGAAAGAGGAGAATTTATCACTGCAAGAGTTATTTCAGCTGCAAGTGTTGCTATCAATTTTTTCCCTCTCTAGTGGTTCATTTGAAATATGGGATAGTGAGGGATTCATTGCTTTGTGCATTGGAGGTTTGTTTGTGTGTTCATTTTCATTAACAGTCATATTTCCTTTCTGATTTATGTGAATTCTTTTTTTTCTTTGTTTGGCATTGTTTCTGATTTTTAGCCCTATAAACACTGATTTCTCAGGAGTAACCTAATTTCTATCTTTTTCTTTTTTATTTCCATATTATGTCACTTTACAAAAACAAAAAATTGGTGTCTTGAAAATCTTTTCCTTATTAATCATAAAGGTAAAGTAGAGTTTCTCTCTAATGTGGGTTTTGCACTCAGATGAATGTTATACCTTCTGGATCTCTCTCTCAAGCTATGTGTAAGCAGAAACCTATTGTTTTTCCATTTAACAGTATGATTGATTACATATTTAATTCATTCCTGTTGTCATCAGTTCCAGGCAAATTAAAAGTGTGTATTTCTGCCTGTCAGGATAATGGAGGCACTGGAAATAACTTTCTAGAACCCTCATATTTTGGATAAAATTGCTTTCATTCTCCTTAGCGCTGGAAGTTTCCTCTTATCATCTAATCAAATCCACTGTCATCATAGAAGTAGATTATTTGCAGAATTTCCCTTGATAGGTTGATGTTGGCATTTTTTGTGCCGGGTTATTTTGCCAAATTAAAAAAATGGATACTTTCTGTGTTAAGCACAAACTCCGTCTTGCTCTTGGATTGGCCATTTCTTCTAGACTCACACTCCTTCAGCACTGGCAGAGTAAGTGGATGGTGGGCCCAGGACAAAAGGCAAAAGGAGGCCACTTTGCCCAGCATTTGCCTCCTCAAAGAGAGTCACTGGCAGAATCTAGACTAATTCACTAGTTATTTTATTGGGGTTGAAGGCTGAAGCCCTAATTGCCCTTGTGCTCTAGACAATTACTTCCTTTGAGGTCCTGAAGGAGAAGATGACCATGGCAGGATAGGATGGGAACCCAGGATCCTGAGTGATGTTCGGATATTAAGTATTGTATAGCTAGAGTAGTATTTGAGTAAAGAACATAAATTTGAGAGTTAGGCTCAAAATGGAGTCACATCGTTATCACTTACTAGCTGTGTGGTCATGGTCAAGTTGTTTATACTCAGTCAACCTCAGCTTTCTCATCTGTCCAATATATGTGATTATAGTTACTACTTTATAGCAGTGGTGTATTAAATGAGATACTCTATATAAAAATGTTCAGCTCAGGGCCCAGTACAAGGTACACCCTCAATACACATTATCTGCTATTAGTAGAACATTAATAATAATCATAATACCATTAGTGAAAGTTAGAAAGAAGGATTAATTTTAAAAATTCAGTCAGACACTTGGGCTGTTTGGGACAGTCAGATAAAATCAAGCATCGACAAACTCCCTCTTCTACTTTATTTTCCATGTCAGATTTATCATGATCCCTGTGAAATAGGCACCACATGTTTTATTAGGTGATCATGACCATTCAGTATTTACTTTGGGTTTAGTTGGAACAGACTTAATATTTTTGGAAAATTAATTTTTATTTTTCAACCCCACTGTAACTGGTCAGTACCTTTCAGTTAAATCAATAAAATTAATCAGGTATGTAATCTAATGATATAGAGGCTGCATGATAAATACAAGCATTTTTCCTAAATCCAACAAATCTTGGTAAATTGCAGTCTTGCAATGTAATTGGGAAATTGAGGGTAACATATGAAATAATAGTGCAAAAATAAAAACTATGCCATGTACAAGAACTTTGCCTTTAAGACTATTTTGGGATGTACCTTTCCAACTATGTCTTGTTTTTTTGTTACTGTTTTTCTATGAGAATTCTGGACCTGTTGTAATTGCTTACTTTCTTATCAAACACTGTTTGCTTAGATTTGCCCAGAAATTATTATATTTGAAGTCTGTCTTTATGTCAACCCAGAATATAAAACTTCCATTTGACCTGTGACATCACTATTATTTTAAGGACTTAGGTTTGGCAGCTTGCCCATAATTTTTCTAACTTTTGACCTTGGCCTCCATTTTTAGCTTTGCTGTTCTTAATTTCACACTGACAATTCCAAAAGACATTGCCCAACATATTGGTATTGGCATGGCATTTATATTATGTTTTACAGTTTATCAAGGGTTCTCTCATGTAATCGGTTTAGTCAAATGTATGATAAGGCACTGAATTATGTAGTGTATAAAGGGCAGGAGTTTTAAGAGTACAGATAAAACAAATCAGTATATGATGGAGTAGGGAAGATTTTATAAAATGGGGAGAATGGAACTGGGCATTGAAAGTGGGGTGAGATAGTGTTTATATTTCATAACATCTAACTTTATTAATTTTCTTTTAATTTAGTTTTTATATAACATATGAACATATGTTCCTTATATAACATTCAAAGAAAACAAAATATATACAGTCTTCCCTTAAAAATCTTCCCAATACTGTACCCTTCTTCAGAAGTAGCTACTGTTAAGAGTTCAACATACATCACTTTAGTTCTTAAGCATTTTCACACATAAATGTGTACATGGATAAGCAAACATTTTAAATAGATGGGCCTATATTCTATTTTATCCTACAACCTTATTTTCTCCATTGACAGTATCACTTGATAATTTTTTTCTTATGCATTTTTGTATGCCATAATTATTTTTCAGGTACCATAAAATTTACTCTTAAGTTAAACACTCAGTGGGTTTCAGCACTTTCACAAAGTTGTGCAGCCATCAATAATACTAATTACAGAACATTGTCATCAACCAAAAACAAACAAGGAAACTTCTTTATTATTCTTCCCTTCCCCAAACCTCAGGTAAACACTAATCTAATTCTGCGTGTAAGAATTCGCTTGCTATTGGCATTTTACATGAGTAGAATCTGTGGCCTTTGGCATCTGCCTTTTCTCACATAGCATGTGTTCAAGGCCTATCCACGTTGTAGCATATATCAGTAATTCATTCATTTTTATGGCTGAATAATACACCATTGTGTATATATACCAAATTTTGTTTATCCATTTACAATTAATGGACATTTGTGTTGTTTCTACTTTTTAGGTATTATGAATAATGCTGCTATGACTATTCATGTACAAGTGTTGATATGGATACATTTTATGTACATTTGTTTTCATCTCTCTTGCATATGTGCCTAGGATTGGAATTGTTGGGTCACATTGTAGAACCCGGTTTCAGGCATGGTAACACTAGCTTTAAGAAACTGCCATACTGTTTCTCAATGTGGCTACACCATTTTACAGTCCCATCAGATATACTGGAAGATAACCACACATCCTTGTTATTGTCTGTTTTTCTGATAATAGCCTCTAGTGGGGGTGAAGCAGCACCTCATTGTGGTTTTGGTTTACATTTGGAATAATGATGTTGAGCATCTGTTCATGTGCTTATGGGAATGTGTGTATCATCATCGGAGAAATGTCTCTTCACACCCTTTGTCCGTTTTGTTGTTGAGTTATAAGAGTTCTTTATTCTGGATACTAGATCCTTATCTGGTATACAACTTGCAAAGAGGTTGTCTTTTCACTTTCTTGATAATGTCCTTTGATGTACATTTTTACATTGTTTAGTGAAGTCTAACATTTTTTGTTTTTACTTGTACTTTTGATATTATATGTAAGAAACCATTGCCTAACTCAAGGTCATGAAGATTTGTGCATATCTTTTCTCATAAGAGTTTAGAGTCTAAGCTATTGCTTTTAGATTTTTCATCCATTCTGATTTAACTTTGGCAGAAGGCGTGAGATAATTTTAGAATCGGCTTGCAACTTTCTGGAAATAAATCAGCTGGGATTTTGATAGGAATTGTGTTGAATGTGTAGATCAATTTGAGTATTGCCATCTTAACAATATTCTTTCATTCTATGAACATAAGGTTTTTAAAATTTATTTAGTCTTTGTTAGTTTGCTACTTTCAATGATGTTTTACAGTATTTGGTGCGTAAGTCTTACACTTCTTACACTTTTAAAATTATATTATTAATATATTCTCTTTGACACTATTGTAAATGAAATTGTTTTCTTAATTTTATTTTCAGATTGTTCATTACCAGTGTATAGAAATACAATTGGCTTTGGTGTGTTAATTTTGTATATTGCACCCTTGTACAACTTGTTTTTAGCTGTTTTTGTTTTCTTTTGTTCTGTTTTTGTGAAATCCTTGAGATTTTTAAATAGAAAAAAAAAGTCATAGAGATTGTTTTACTCTTTTCTTCCTAATCTATATATCTGTGTTTTATAGTCTTGCTTAAATGCCCTGACTAGGACCTCACTTACAATATTAGATAAAAGTAGCAAGAACAGACATCCTCGTTTTGCTCCTGACCATAGGGAGCATGTAGGTAGGTTTATCATAAATATGCTTTATCTGATTGAGGAAGTTATTTTATATTCCTAGTTTGTTAAGGGTTTTTATCACAGAAATGTGTTACATTTTGTCACATGATTTTCTTGCATTCATTGAGATAAAAATGTATTTTTTGTTATTTATTGTATTCATATAAGATATTACCTTGATGGGTTTTCGTATGTTGAAACAATTACGAGTTCTTGGGATAAAACGAACATGGTCATTGCGTACAATTCATTGTAAATGCTGCTGTATTTGGTTTGCTAGCATTTTGTTGAAGATCTACAGTCATAAAATATATTGGCCTGTAGTGTTTTTTTTTTCCCTTGTGATGTCTGCATCTGATTTTGATAGCAGGGTAATACTGACATCATGGAATGAGTTGGGAAGTGTTTCCTCCCCTTCAGATTTGCTTATGGGCTCTTTATTTTTTCAGAAGAGTTTGTGAAAGATTGGTATAAATTCTTCTTTAAGCCTTTGGTAGAATTCACTGATGACAACTGGTCCTGAAATTTTATTTGTGAGAAGTTTTTTGATTACGAATTCAATCACCTTACTTGTTCTAGGCCTCCTCATTGGAAAAAAAAATTAGGTCAGTTTTGGTAGTTTGTGTCATTCTCAGAATTTGTCCATTTCATCTAGAATATTGAATTTGTTGGCATACAGTAAATTTTGTATATAGATGTAACTCATTCTTCTAAATTTCTTGGTGATATTCTGTGGCATGGATATGCCTTAATTTGTTTAGCTGTAAACAGTTTTTCTCCTGATTTTCCCTATTATGGGCAGTGTTACAAGTAACAAAAAACAAATTGGTCTCATATATTTGAGCATTTTTTTGGCTAGTGATTTATTCTCAGACTTTTATCTTTCTCTTATAATATATATGCAATATTGATGTTTTAGGCATTCTGTTTCTTTAGCTTTTCAGGCTATTATGTTTAATCACATAATTTTCTCACTTTCATGTCACATAGAAGAGGCAATATTAAGTGTTCTCCAAATTCTGTTTTATTTTCCACTTCTTAAACACACAGGAATACTGTACTCCCTCCATTCTCTTGCAGTTAGACCAGGGCGACGTGACTATTTCTGGTGAACAGGCTACCCACACTGGGGTTTTTCACTTTTAGTCCAGTGGAAAAAATAAGCAAGAACGAGTCCTCTATATCAGCAATCCCCAAACTTTTTGATACCAGGGACTGGTTTCAAGGAAGGCAAGTTTTCCACAGTAATGGTTTCACGATGAAACTTGATGTTCCACTTCAGATCATCAAGCATTAGATGCTCATAAGGAGCATGCAACCTAGATTCGGCGCATGTGTGCAGTTCACAATAGGGTTCACGCTCCAGGAGAATCCAATGTTCCTGCTGATCTGACAGGAGGTGGAGTTCAGGTGGTAATGCTTGATGGCTCGCTTGCTCACCTCCTGCTGTGCAGCCCAGTTCCTAACAGGCCACAGACCGGTACTGGCCTGCAGCTCAGGGGTTGGGGATCCCTGCTCTCCATTCTTTCTTCCTTTGTTTGGATGATTGTTGGGATCGCCTAATAAGATGGCAGAGTTACAAGATGGTGGCTGTCTGGCTCTTTGAGCAACGGCTTTGGAAGAGCTTTTTTTTTTTTTTTTTCTGAGACGGAGTCTCGCTCTGTCGCCCAGGCTGGAGTGCAGTGGCACCATCTCGGCTCACTGCAAGCTCCACCTTCCGGGTTCACGCCATTCTCCTGCCTCAGCCTCCCGAGTAGCTGGGACTACAGGTGCCCGCCACCACGCCCAGCTTATTTTGTGTGTGTGTGTTTTTAGTAGAGAAGGGGTTTCACCGTGTTAGCCAGGATGGTCTCGATCTCCTGACCTTGTGATCTGCCCGCCTCGGCCTCCCAAAGTGCTGGGATTACAGGCTTGAGCCACCGCACCCGGCCGGAAGAGCTTCTTATACCAGGAGGAGCTTCCTGACTTATCAGGCTTTGTTGTACTGATATTGAGACTCTGGGATAATTTGCTACCATCACAGGACCTCGCTAATCCTGACTGATAGAGATAAGTATCCATTTACTCCTGTAATCCTTACCAGCCTTCATTCATTTTGCTTTCTTCTTCCGTCTTTCCCTAGACAATCTCCTCCCGCTGTGTACAGCAACTATGTGGTGAACTATTTGTTCTATTTGTTAAACAAAAGAAGTGATGGCTAGAAGATAGAATAGGTGGGGCTTAAAAATTATGGTGGGAAAAGGAAACTTAACATTTTTCTTGGAAGTAACAAAGAAGCTCAAATCTCAGCTACTTAGGATTGTCTCAGAAGTCTGACTAAAGCTGATTTTCTTTGCCCTTCACTATGTAGTAGGAGACTTGTGTTTTTTAAAATATTTGCTTTTTTTGGATACATAAGAGTTACACACATTTATGGGGTACATGTGGTATTTTGATACAAGCATACAATGTGTAATGATTAAATCCAGGAAACTGAAGTATCCATTATCTTAAACATTTATCATTTCTGTGTGTTGGAAACATTCCAAATTTTCTTTGCTATTTTTAAATAGTCAATAAGTTGTTATTATTGACTATAGTCACCCTACTGTGCTATCAAACACTAGGTAGTATTCCTTCTATCCCCTGCCCTCACAAACCTTTTAGCTACCAGAGGTAGCCACCAGTCTATCCACTACTTTTATGAGATCTATGTTTTTAGCTCCCAGTTATGAGTAAGAACATGTGATATTTGTCTCTCTGTGCCTGGCTTATTTCACTTAACATAATGTCCTCCAGTTCAGTCCATGTCACTGTAAATGATAGGATTTCATTCTTTTCTTTATGGATGAATAATATTCCATTGCCTATGTATATACACCACATTTTCTTTTTATCCATTAATCCATCGATGGACCCTTAGGTTGATTCCATATCTTGACTATTGTGAATAGCGCTGCAAAAATAAAGAGGGGGTTGTTTAGATATCTCTTCAATATACTGATTTCCATTCTTTTGGATATATACCCAGCAATAGGATTGCTAGATCATATGGTAGTTATATTTTTAGTTTTGGAGGAGCCTCTATATTATTTTTCATAGTGGCTGTGCTAATTTACATTCCCACTAACAGTGTGCAAATGTTCCCCTTTCTCTACATCTTTGGTAGCATTTATTTTATCTATTTTGATAACACATTTTAACTGGGGTGAGATGGTATCTGATTTTGATTTTGATTTCCTTGATGATGTTGAGCATTTTTTCATATACCTGTTGGCCATTTGTCTTCTTTTGAGAAATGCCTGTTAAGGTCTTTTGCCCATTTTTAATCAGATTATTTGGAAGGTTTTTTTTGTTGTTGTTTTTTTTTTGTTTTTTTGTTTTTGCTATTGAGTTTTGAGTTACTTATATATTCTGATTAGTAGTCCATTTTTGGATAGTTTGCAAATATTCTTTACTAATTTTGTATATGGTGGGAGATGGGGCCTAATTCTTCTAATTCAACCTAATTCTGTAGGTGGTTTCTTCACTCTGTTGGTTGCTTCCTTTGCTGTACAGAAGCTTTTTAGCTTGATATGATCCCATTTGTCAATTTTGTAATTGGTGAGATAGGAATCTAATCTTATTGTTCTGCATATGGATATCCAGTTTTCTCAGCACCGTTTATAGAAAATACTGTCCTTTCCTTAATGTATATTTTTAACAACTTTGTCAAAAATGACTTGGCTGTAAATGCAAGGAATTATTTATGGGTTCTCTATTCTGTTTTATTGGTCTATATGTCTGTTTTTATGCCAGTGCTATGTTTTGGTTACCATAGATTTGTAGTATATTTCAAAGTATAGTATTGTGATGTTTCCTGCTTTGTTCTTTTTGCTCAGGATTGCTTTGGCTATTTGGGGTCTTTTCTGGTTCCACGTGAATTTTAGGATTGTTTTTTCTATTTCCGTGAAGAATGTCATTGGTATGTGACAGGGATTGCATTGAATCTGTAGGTTGCTTTGAGTAGTATGAACATTTAAATAGTATTAATTCTTCTAATCCATAACATGAGATATCTTTCTTTTTTGTGCATTTTCTTCAATTTCTTTCATCAGTGTTTAGTAGTTTTTATTGTAGAGATAAAAACTTTAGTCAAGTTTATTTCTAGGTATTTTTTGTGGCTATCGTAAAAAGGATTGCTTTCTTGATTTCTTTTCCACATCCTTCACTGTTGGCGTATAGAAATGCTAATGATTCTTGTATCCTGCAAATTTACTGAATTAATTTATCAGTTCTACCAGTTTTTTTGGTAAAGTCTTTAAGTTTCTCTAAATATAAAGACACAAACAAGGACAACTTAAATTCTTCCTTTCCAGTTTAAATGCCCTTTATTTCTTTTTCCTGTCTAATTGCCCTGGCTAGGACTTCTGGTACCATGTTGAATAAAAGTGGTAAAAGTGGGCATCCTTGTCTTGTTCCAGATCTTAGAGGAAATGCCTTCAGCCTTTCCCCATTCAGTATGACATGAACCGTGGGTTTGTTTTATATGACTTTTGTCAAGTTGAGGTATGTTTCCTTTATACCCAGTTTGCTGCAAGTAATTTTATGAAAGGATGTTAAATTTTATGTTTTTCCAACATTGATTGAAATGATTTTTGTCCTTCATTCTGTTATGTGATGTATCCTTCATTCTATTATGTGATGTATTATGTTGATTGAATTGTGTATGTTGAAACGTCATTCTGTCCCTGAGATGAATCTCATTTAGTTGTGTTAATGATCTTTTTTTTTTTTTTTTTTTTTTTTTTTTTTTTTTTTTGTGAGACGGAGTCTCGCTCTATCGCCCAGGCTGGAGTGCAGTGGCGCGATCTCGGCTCAGTGTAAACTCCGCCTCCCAGGTTCACGCCATTCTCCTGTCTCAGCTTCCTGAGTAGCTGGGACTGTAGGCATCCGCCACCACGCCCGGCTAAGTTTTTGTTTTTCTAGTAGAGACAGAGTTTCACTGTGTTAGCCAGGATGGTCTCGATCTCCTGACCTCGTGATCCACCTGCCTTGGCCTCCCAAAGTGCTAGGATTACAGGTGTGAGCCACTGAGCCTGGCCTTAATGATCTTTTTAATGTGTTGGTAAAGTTGGTTTGTTAGTTTTTTGAGGAGTTTTGCATCTATGTTGATCAGGGATATTGGCCTGTAGTTTTTGTTGTTGTCGAGTCTCTGTCTGGTTTTTGGTATCAGGGTAATAATAGCCATCTAGAACGAGTTTGGAAGTATTCCTTCCTCTTCAGTGTTTTGAAGAGGTTGAGTAGGATCGGTATTGTTTTTTCTTTAAATGTTTCATAGAATTCAACAGGGAAGCCATCAGTTCCTCACCTTTTCTTTGATGGGAGACTTTTTATTACTACTTCTATTTCATTACTCATTATTGGTCTGTGCAGGTTTTCTATTTGTTTATGGAACAACCTTCATAGGTTGTATGTGTCTAGACTAAATTTATCCATTTCTATTATGTTTTCTAACTTATTGGCATATAGATGCTCGTCACAGTCTATAACGGTTCTTTGCATTTCTGTGCTATCAGTTGTCTTCTTTTTGTCTCCAATTTTATTAGTTCTTCTCTTTTTCTTCTTAGTCTGGCTAAAACTTTCCAAATTTTCTTTCTTTTCAAAAACCCAACTTATTTTGTTGATCTATTTTTTAGTCTCAATTTTATTTATTTCTGTTTTGACATTATTTCTTGTCTTCTACTAATTTTAGGTTGGTTTAGGTTTAGCTCTTTAAGGTGTGCCATTAATTGTTTATTTGAAGTCTTCCTACTTTATGATGTAGTCATTTATAATGAAAAACTTCCCACTTAGTACTGCTTTTGCTGTATTCCACAGGTTTTGGTTTGTTTTCTTTCCATTTTTATTTGTTTCAATAAAATTTTAAATTTTCTTCTTAATTTCTTTGTTGACCCATTAATGGTTCAAGAACAAGTTGTTTAATTTTCATGTATTTTTATAGTTTCCAAAGTTCTTCTTGTTATTGATTTAGAGTATTATTCTACTTTAGTCAAAAAAAAAACTTGATATGATTTTGATATTTCTGAATTTGTTAAGACTTGTTTTGCGGCCTAACTTATAGTCGATCCTGGAGAATGTTCCATGTGCTGATGAGAAGAATATGTTTTCTGCATCTATTTGGTGAAATGTTCTATAAATATCAGTTAAGTTGATTTAGCCTAGCATGTAGCTTAATTCCAATATTTCTTTGCTGATTTTCTGACTGGATGATCTGTCCATTGCTGAAACTGGGTTGTTGAAGTCCTCTGCTATCATTGTATTGTAGTCTGTCTTTAATACTCGCTTTAAATGTCTGGGTGATGTATTAGTCTGTTCTTGCATTGCTATAAAGAAATACCTGAGACTGAGTGGGTTATAAAGAAAAGAGGCTTAATTGGCTAATGGTTCTGCAGCCTCTGCAGGAAGCATGGCTGGGGAGGCCTCAGGAAACTTACAATCGTGGCAGAAGGCAAAGGGAAACGAGCACATCTTATGTGGCCAGAACAGAAGGAAGAGAGAAAAAAATGAAGGAGGTAACACACACTTTTAAACATTCAGATCTCATGAGAACTCACTGGCTATACAGTACCAAAGGTGATGTCACTAAACCATTCATAAGAACTCCAACCCCGTGATCTAATCACCTCCCACCAGGTTCCACCTCCAACACTGGGATTACAATTGCACATGAGATTTGTGTGAGGACACAAGTTTAAACCATAACAAGTGCTTTAATTTTGGTTGCATATATAATACAATTGGTTGCATATATATTTAATACAATTAAATACAGTTGTTATATTCTCTTGCTGAAGTGACTTTTTAATCATTATATAATGACCTTTGTCTCTTCTTACAGTTTTTGACTTGAAATGTACTTTAAATATAGCTACTTTTGTTCTTTTTTGGTTTCAATTTGCACAAAATATCTTTTTCCATCTTTACTTATTTATTTTTCATCCATTTTTACTTTCAGTCCACATGTCTTTATAGGTAAAAAGTGAGTTTCTTGTAGAGAGCACATAGTTGTGTCTTATTTCTTTATTCAGCTACTTCATGTCTTTTAACTGGAGAATGTAGTCAATTTATATTCAGTGTCATTATTGACAGGTAAGGACTTACTAATGCCATTTTGCTAGTTGTTTTCCAGTTTTGTAAACCTTCTCTTTCTTTCTTACTGGCTTTGTGGATAAATGATTTTCTCTGGCAGTATGTTTTAATTCATTTTTACTTTTTAGTGTGTCTGTTAGACTTTTGCTTTGTGGTTATAATAATGGTTGAAACAAACATATCAGAATTGTAACAAGTTATTTTAAACTGATGACAACTTAACTTTGATCCCAAAGAAGAAAAGACAGAAGCAAAGAAAAATTAAAATACTCCACAGTTTAACTCCATCCCCCTAGTTTTTGACTTTTTGTTGTGTCTATATATCTTCTTATAATTCCTATCTCTTAACAAACCTGTGTAGTTATTATTTCTTATAGATTTGCCTCTTGGTCTTTATACTAAATATATGCATGGCTTACACACTGCATTGGCAGTATTAGATAATTCTGTGTACTTAACTTTTACCAGTGACTTTTCTACCTTTAGGTGATTTCTTGCTGCATGATAGCATCCTTTTTTTCAGTTGGAAAACTCCCTTTAACATTTCTTATAAGACAGGTATGGTGATGATTAATTCCCTCAGGTTTTGTTCGTCTGGGAAAGTTTTTATTTCTCCTTTGTGTCTGAAAAATAGCTATGCTGGGTACAGTTTCCTTAGTTGGAGCTTTTATTTCCTTTAGCACTTTGGATATGTCATTCCCATTCCCTCCAGGCCTGTAAGGTTTCCTCTGAGAAGTCTATTGCTAGATGTATCAGACCTTAGATGTTATTTGCTTTTATCTTGCTGCTTTTAGGATCCTTTGTTTTTGACTTTTGGGAGTTGATTATATGCCTTGGGATAGTCTTATATGGATTGTGTCTTCTTTGATGTTCTGTGAACTTCTGGTACCTGGATATTAATAATTTTCTATAGGTTTGGAAAGTACTTTGTTATTATTTATTTGAATAAGTTTTCTACCCTGATCTCATTATCTACATCCTCTTTTTGGACAATAACTCTTAAATTTGCCTTTTTGAGACTATTTTTTAGATCTTGTAAGCATACTTTATTCTTTTTAATTATTTTTTATTATCTTCCTATTTTTTAAATAGCTCATCTTTGAGTTCACTAGTTCCTTATTCTGCTTAATTCTGTTAAGACTGTGTTACATTTTTTAGTTTATCTATTGAATTTTTCTGCTCCAGTATTTAAATTTCTTAGATAGATTTATGAATTCCTTCTCTGTGTTATCTTGAAGTTTGCCAAGCTGCCTCAAAATATTTATTTTGAATTCCCTATCTGAGAGGTTATATATCTCTGTCACTCGAGGGTTGTTCACTGGTGCCTTATTTAGTCTGTTTGGTGAGGCAATATTTTCCTGGATGTCCTTCATGCTTATGAACATTTGTCCTTATTTGGGCATTGAAGAGTTAGGTATTTGTTCTAGTCTTCACAGTCTGGCCTTGTTTGTTTGGGACTCAGTTTCCTCCTCCTTGGGTGATGAAGTCTCCTCGGGCCCAGGGCTTGTCTTAATGGCATCAACAGAATTCTGCCCTGTGCTATGTTCTAACTGTGACAGGGTGGGACTGAGTTCCAATGCCAAGTTCCAAACTCACTTTGCTCTGCCTCCTCCAAGCACAGAGTTTCTCTCTTGGCTGTACTGCTGGGAGTGGAGGTAGGGGTAGTGTAGGGAACATCAGAGACTGTCCTTCCTACCCTCTTCAATGTGTCCTTGTTATTATGCTAAACCCAGGTACTCTGATCACTCACCTGATATTTTTGGTTCTTATGAAGGTGCTTTTTGCATGGATAATTGTTTGATTTTATGTTCCTGCAGAGGATGAGGGAGGGAATTTCTGAAGGGTTCTAGTCGGCCATCTTGCTCCACCTCCTTCAATAGGAGTCTTATCTTTGTAGCTTGGTCTTCCCAATAATTTTCTATGGACTTTTAATAATTTTGTCAAAAATTAATTTACCAAAATAATTTTGAAGCAATAATATGACAATTTTAAGTGATAATGCATATTCAACCTAAACTAAATTAAGCCAAACTAAAAACTGGGAAAAAGTTATTAAAAAATTGCATCTAGCAATTTTAATTTGACATGATTTTAATGAAAGCAATAAATTACTTGAAATAGAAATCATTACCATTAATATTCCATATAGATTATTTAAACAACTTTTCTACATATGTGGAGAGGGAAATAAAAATTTAGACAAAATTTTGTAGATGAGAAAGAAAACGACAACATAATTTCTAAGTAATATGCTTGGATAAATGCTGTTTTAAAATAGAAGCTAGTAATTTTAATTTGACATGAATATAATGAAAAATGCAACTAAGGTGAATGAAAAAATTGTAGGACTTCATATTGTCTTCATCATATCAGGTAATAGGTACCAAAATGTCCCTCTAAATTAAAAAAAAATTAATCAATAACTTGTATTCAGCATAGATTTATTTAAATTACATATATTAATTTCAGTAATCATCATTAACTCCTCTGAAAGATGATATAATTAAGAACCTCTATTTCTCTTTTCTTCTGAGTTTGTTGCTTTTATAATATTTAATTTATGATGGTTTTATTATATATCTGTTCTACTCTGCAATAATAATTACCTCAGTTGTTTTATCTTAGGTCATACTTAAATGAAGTAAGTGTTCAGCCACCTGTTATATAACCATGGTTTCCTAATTTCTCTATTCTTTATTATGATTTATCTCTTCATTGGTTGCATTTAATCTCCAAGTAGGGATTTTTAAGTTTCATTGTTGTAAAATTTCATTAAACCTGTTATTTAATGTATAGAAATGCCTTTCTGTTGTATTTATAACTGAAGAGCAATTTGCTATATATAATGGAAACTTTGTTACATTGTTTCTGAAACTCAATATTTATTCTGAGGCCAATCAGATTTCCCACTTGTTATGTAACTTGCTATTTTTTTTTCTGAAACTAAGTGTTTTATCTTGATTTTCCCAGACTCATCAATTTCTGAATGCTTTTATTTTTGAAATTTAATAACTAAATATGTCTTATAGTATTAGCTTTTTATTAACTTTTCTTGGCATTTGCCCTATTAACTGAAATATTTAGTCATTCACTTTACTTTAGGTAAGTTTCCCTCTTTTATATCCCTCATTATTTTCTGTTCTATTTGTTGGTGTCTTTACTTCAGCAGTATCAATAGCCCTATGGTGGATGCACTATAGTTTATATACCTATTGTCTAATTATTTAAACCTATTGTCTATAACTAAATAAATCATTATCTCCATGATGACTTCTGTTTCCTGCTGCTTCTAATTTATACTGTTTGTTTTGTATCAGTTTTTTCTTTTCCTTATAATATTCCTTTTCTCATAATTCTGATCTTTTATTACATTATTGTTTTCCTTGTTTTACTAAATCTATGTCCTTATTGGATTATTCAATAAATGCAAAACACCAGCAAAGGAATTTTAGTTCCTCGGATTGTATATTCTTTCAAATTGGATTATCTGTGTTATGTTTTAAAATCAATGCCTTTCTCCATTTATATATTAATATATTTTTATTTGGGGGCTGTAATATATTTTCATCACTCTCAAACCATTTTTTTCCTCTTGTACCTTTGTTAATATCTTATATTTACTAGGAAATGGTGTATGTGGTTTCTCCTTGACATCACTCTTACCTTATCTGGGATTATTTATCTTCCCCCTGTGTACTAGAAGGTACAGAGAACAGACAGAAGAGAGTGGGAAGCACAGCTGGGACTGATTGCAGTCTTTGAGGAGGTCCTGGGTTTACTCTTCTTGCTGAGATCCCACCAGATGTTCTTCATTGGACTCCATTACACCAAGCTTGGCATGAATTCAAGTCTTTTGGGCTTTGGCTTACTCCCCTAATTTAGCACTGTGTGCTGGAGCAAGAGAATCTATGGCCCTTCCTGCTTCTGCCAAGGTCCAGATGTGATTTGTAGAGCATCCACTAAGTGTTTTATCTTGATTTTCCCAGACCCATCAATTCATCCCTTCAAACCACTCCTTTCAAGTTACAGAGCATTCAGATTCAGGATTTGTGTCACTTCTTATATCCTCAGTTATCCTCAGTGCCACTTCTGGAGGTGGAATAAGAGTTGGGAATTCTGTTGACCTGGCCATGACACCAGAATTTTCTGTTACTTCACTGGTCATCATTTTTGAGGTTATAATCCTTCCCCATTTCTTCCTGCTGATGGGAAAATTGGCAGGGTTGTTTTTGTTTTGCTTTTGTTTATTGGAGGAGGAAGATTCTGTACCATAACTTTACAGACAGCACCACCATCCCACAGATAAATAACTATTTATTTTCAAATGTATTTGTGAGATATGCATCTTAAGAGATTAGAGCAAAGATACTAATGTATAAAAATAAGCAAGCAAGTGCATGAAACACCTAACTTCGATGGCTTGGACTATCAAATATTAACACTTATCAACATTTAGTGTCCATTTTGTACAAAATACTAGGCCTGGTGCTATGAGAGACATAAAGTTGCATAAGTTGGGACAGGAAAATGGAAAGAGGCAAATATGCTTAGACAATTTTATAAGGAAGAATTAATTACTTCCAATAACAAATCACAGACAAAATGTAAAGGTGAGTTAAAGGGGGGAGACAGTATATCCAGTTAAGGGAATATCAAAATGCATAATGGAAAACATGACATTTATAATGTATTCCAAAGATGGTCAGGGATGGGGGCAAGTACATTTAAAGAAAAGAAAGTAAAAGGATAAGCATTAGATATGAAGGTAGAAGAGCATAGAGTGTAGCTAGCAAAGAACAAGCTATATAATATGCAAATAATTTTACACACATTGGAGCAGTGAAAAAAGCTGAAAGTGGAGTATGTAGATGTAGTGTACTTAACTGAATGTCGGAGTGACTTAACTCTGTAAGGTAACGGAGAATAAAAACCACAAGTAGTTAATAAGCAAGAGTACAACATGAATAGACTAGTGAGGATAAACATTAATCTGGCAGCAGGACAGAGGTTGAATCCTGGGAAAGTGGAAAAAATGCTACACTGGGTGTCATGAGATTTAGTCTCTTGGTCCAGCTTTGCCACACTACCCATATGTGTGAGATTAAGTGAATCATTTGACCCCTTTTGGTCCCACTGAGCTCTCTGTAAAATAAAGATGGTGAACTTGGCTTCTAATATTTATTCTAGCTCTAAATAGCATAGGTCTATATATTATAATGATGAAAACATGGGAAATATGGAAACTCTTTAGTATATAGCATAAGTTTGGCAAAAAATACATGGAAAAATAAATTACAATTGAAGTGTTTATAGAAAAAATATTTTATATGCAAGGGAATTTACAAAGGTAGAGTCAAGAAGTCAAAGAAATTGTATGAAAAGATGACTCCAAGTTTCTGATTTGGGCTTATTAGGAGAATACAGATGACTTTCAGAAGAAGTGTGAACATCAAGCTGAGGAGCTTTTTTGAAGAGCAGGATCTTTCTATCAACATGGGATAGTGGAAGATTAAAGTAGTGATGACTACATATAGAAATACAAAGTTGAAGTGAGAGACGCAAGTCTGATACTGCAAAAGAAAAATGTAAGAAACTTAGGACTCAACTTTATCAATGAGTTCGTTCAACTATAGAAATGCACTAGGGACTGAATGGTGTCCCCCCAAAATTTATATGTCAAAGCTCTAATCCTCAATATGATGATCTCCAGAGATGGAACTTTGGGGTGGTAATTGGGTTTAGATGAGGTTATGAGGATGGGGTCCTCATGAAGGGATTAGTGCCCTTATAAGGAGAGGCCAGAGTGCTCACTTGTTCGCATATGCTCTTGTATTCTCTCTCTCTCCTCAACCCCCACCATGTGAGGACACAACAAGAAGATGGTTGTCTACAAGCCAGGAAGAGAACCTTCACAAGGAACCAAATCAGCGGGCACCGTGATCACGAGACTCCCAGCCTCCAGAACTGTGAGAAATAAATGTCTGCTGTTGAAGCCATCCAGTCCACAGTATTTTGTTACAGCAGCCTGAGCAGATTAAAATAAAGAAATGTAACTTGTGAGATAGACAGAAAGGTAAGAAAGAGAAAATGCAACATAAAGTCTATGCTTAAAGGAGCGCTTATTAGTAGTTAAGATGAGCTAGGCAAAATATAAATGGTAGAGAAATGAAAGATGACAACACTCATAACTTGCTCATTCATGCAACAGATACGTGCAGAGTATCTATTGAAGGACCCTGCACTGGTACTTAGGAATCAAACTTAAATCCCACCTTCAAATCTGACAGAGATAAGACATAGACAGACTGTTTTTTATTTGGGTAAATTATTCATACCCATTAAAAGATCTGTAGATAAATGCCTTTGGATTTCTAAGAGGGGAGATATTATTTTCAACTGGGAGAAACACAGGAATATCATTTTATGTACTAAGTAGCATTTGGTGTAGAGCTTATAGAGAAATAGAATGTTCACATGGAGAGAATGCTGTATGGGGAACTCCAGATGGAATAATTGGTATTAGCTCTGGTCCCAGAGTAGTGACTATCTTTGCAGGAAACCTCAGGTGTAATCTTATGGACCTCTGGAAAGACTGTAACAAAATAACTATTTATGGAGATGACTGGCAAAGTTAAGGACACGGACAAGGGACATGAGGGGCCTAGGGACAGGCAACAGTGAGAAGTCACTCCTAGGAAAGAGTGTTCAGGGAGCCAGTGAAGAGTGTAGCCATGTAGAAAGAATGGCCTGACAGAGCATTCATCCTAGAGGGATGCAGCTGCTGCAAGAGCCATGATGCTGATGCAGGAGGAGAAGAGGGAGACAGAAGGAGACAGGAAGAGACAGGAGGAAAAGCCTCAGCCTCTCCCTTCCCACTCTCCAACCTCCCTGCTTGAACGCTCACCAGCTGATCCCAACAAGAAACACAGTCAGTAGGAACAGCTCTGGAGCACAGCTTGAGGTAGAAAATGGAGCAGGGTAGGGACCAAGTGGAAAATAATTGCCATAGCTACTGAGACAGGAGAGAAGAAAATGTGTATATGAGAAAACAGTTTGTTTTGGCTAGAATAAATGATGCATGAGGGCAAAAAGCCAGAGTGTGCTTATAAAAGTAAGTGGTAGCTGAAACTCATCAGAATAATGACAAAATAAAGGGAAACGAAAAGACGTATGAATCTGGTGCTTAACTCATCAGGGATGTTTGGCGCCTTTCCTGGAAATTACAGATAAAAGCAACAGGAGTGGAGAGAAATGACATCAGAACATAAGAGGTACCACAAAATATGAGTTAGTTTTTAGAAATGTGAATGTAGCAGTGGCCAAGAAGAGGCAGTAGAGAGAAAGCAGTACTCTGATTCCTCCATCTCACTCAATGAGGTGAACAGGAAGAATGCCATTTATTTTCTCGGACAAAGGCAGCATAGTCTTTAGACACTTGCTTGGATCAGGAGGGACAGGCTACTTCCATGATTTGGGTCATTGTGAGGGAAGTAGTTAAGAAAAAAAAAAGAAGGACAGGAGATAAGGGAACTATTTGCGGGACTAGTAGAAAGAAGGCAGCAGTGAGAGCAGGGACAGGTGGAACAGAGCTAAAGAGGAAAGAGAGAAGGAAAAGGGATGGCAGGGGATGGTGATTTTTAATGGCAGGATCAGAGAGTCACGTTGTCGGAAAGTTGAACAAA
The DNA here is from genome assembly GCF_000001405.40 of Homo sapiens. Classification (NCBI taxonomy): domain Eukaryota; kingdom Metazoa; phylum Chordata; class Mammalia; order Primates; family Hominidae; genus Homo; species Homo sapiens. Next base: position 19,066,855 of record NC_000006.12, on the reverse strand, counting down.
TATATATTAGCCCCTGTGGGAATTCTAGAGAGGAAAACCAGCCATGAGACCTTTCTAAGTATATACTCTTAAGAGAAATATTGATGTAGTATTCAACCTCAGAGGTTAAGGAATAGTGGGTTTCAGGAAGGACCTGGAGGGTGGTCAGCTGCACACGTAGAGGTGTGCTGCAGCCAGCTTGTACCAGCTCCTGAGAATCAATTGTGCACATCTCTTTCCAACTCTGGGCTCTGTGGCTTCACATAAACACCAAAATATGTCATGGTAGGTGTAGTTCTACCCATAGAAACTGGCAAATGCTACAGATGAGGGTTCCCTTCTCACAAAGTCAACTATCAACCCCAGAGCCTCTTATTAAACCTTTACCAGCACACCACTGATCTGCTGCAGCTTCAATTTGAGGACAGGTTGTTGCAATGAGCACTGAGGAAGGTGTTGCATGAGAACATGTTCATGAAAGAAGCAGCACCCTCTGCCAAAGATCACCGGGTGAGTGTGTGCTGAGCAGGTGCAGGCATGGTCCTCCTTAAAAGACTGGAATCAGAGGCTGCTCATTGATTAGAACTACATTTTGATCAAGCTGAGAGAATTCCAGGTGATACAACCTGGAATAAGCTAAGCAAATAAAAATAAGTCATCAACAACCTGTCAGGCATGCGGAATTCAGTGAATAGAAAATTAACCCATTCCTCTGAACTAAGCAATGCTTGATTTAGCTTCAGTGAGCCTTACAAGTGGAAGCTGGCACTTTCTTCCTGTTTGTTTGTATCTACTGCAAGAAGTAAAAATACATACCACCTACCTGAAGCCTGTCATGGTACTTGTGTTTCTGTAGGAATATTTTCTACAACATCTTAAGTTACTGCTAGAAATTGCCAGCAATTGTGTCTGTGTTTTCCCATTTTTGAAAGAAATTAATACTCTCAATGCCTTAGAGTTGCTCCTTCCCACCTTCTGATGCCTTGTCCTGGGCTTAGTGGATGTAAATTAACTCTGCTGCTGAATAAAGAAATTTTATTCTAGGAATACAGTGCTGAATACAAAAAGAGAGTCATCAATTTTGTCTTTCTTTTCATTTTCTCTCCTCGACCCTTTAACTATTCTTCTAATTTTTTTCTCTAGCTGATGTGTTTTCCATGTCTGTCACATACACAGGGTTTCTTAGGGACTAGAAATGCATAAGAAGCTTAACAAGGGGTGATTTACCTGCTTAATGTTATTCACATAGCACAGTCATTCATCATCAATTCAATAATGTTTGTTAATCACCTGTGATGTGAGGGACACCGTTCTAGACATATTATATCCCACAGAGCAACATCTCATAAGGTATATGCTAAAACAGAGAGAAGATACAGACTTCAGGCAGGTCCATTCTGCTCTGATTTGGGTTTGAAATCAACAGCTCCATATTTGTTTTCATTTTTAATATAAATTTCATTGTGTGTAGTTAGTATACAACGCGATGTTATGGGATACATATATATAGTAAAAAGACTATTATAGCAAAGCAAAGTAACCTGTTTGTAACTGTATTAGTCTGAATACTCTTGAATATTGACCATGTGAATGTCTTTCACTTAATTATTTTTATTTTCTTAGCCTTACATCTTGGGAAATATTAAGTTCTCAGAGTGGAAGCAGTTCAGATGAGCCATACTGTAGGAAATACACTGAGATTACTATAAAGGATACTTGCAGGAGAGCTCTGTGCATTTCCTCCCTCAGTGTCAGACAAATACACATATCAAGTTGGGGCAGTGATACAATTAAAATGTTAGTTGAAGGATGCCTACAGGGCCCAGGCACAAAAGTGTCAGCTCCTTTGTCAGTCACCTGCCTGACATCCCTACCGTCAGCCTCTCCTTCTTCCTTTTACAACAAAAGCCTTTCTTAAAAATGTAAGTAATATTTACCACTTATAAAATTTTAGTTTCAGCTGTGCAAGGTAGCCCTCACCTGTAATCCCAGCATTTTGGGAGGCTGAGGTGAGAGGGTCGCTTGAGACCATCAGTTTGAGACCAGCCTCGGCAACTTGGTGAAATCCTTTCTCTATGCACATGCACGCGCGCGCACACACACACACACACACACACATTAGCTAGGCATGGTATGAGCACCTGTAGTCCCTGCTACTAGGGAGGCTGAGGTGGAAGAATTGGTTGAGCCCAGGAGTTTAAAGTTGCAGTGAGCCATGATCACACCACTGCACTCCAGCCTGGGCAACAGAGTGAGACCTTGTCTCTAAAAAACAAACAAATCAAAATTTAGTTTCTTAAAGAACATCTTAATAGGGCTCTGAGCCATTTTTCAAGTCACATGTATGTTTTCACAGGAAATAGGGCAGGGGGATAGGAAATAACTGAAGGACAGACTGTATAGAGGAATATCCACAGGGGAAGACAGAAGTTAGCAAAAGAGCATGGTGTGGAGGATGGTCTAACTGAGAAAGAGGGCATTACTAGAATATAAGATCTGCTGCAGTTAGAAGAGACCCAAAATAACATTGTGGCAAATGGAGACAACTTTATCTCTGTTGTTTAATGGCCCAGAGAGACATGGGCAGGGCTAGCATTGTGAATTGGCTCCATGGGGTCATCTGGGGACCCAGGCTCCTTCTACCTTGTTGCTCCACATCCCTGAAGTGTTACTTTCCCTCCAGGTCTCACTACTACAGGCTGAAAATTCCCAAGTTTATTACACCTGTGCTTTCGATCAAGTCTGCTCTGCCAAGCCCCATTGCCACTCTACTTGGTCACATCCCTGGTACAGCCTTCTTGTCACTACTAGATACCCAATAGGTGGCAACACTGGCATTGATGGATCCTACTGGGCTCTGACAGGCTCTAATGCCCACTGACTGTTTGTTTTGCTAAATCTGTAGGGTTATCTGTGGTTAGGTAGGGGAAAATGCTTCTTTCTCTTCTGGTTACACCATGGTCTAGAGTTTCCAAAGTAAGATTGTTTATCCAGTGTTCTGTAAATTTTTCTCAGAAAAAAACTAAATAAAATAATTTCAGCTTTAATGGACAGTCCCTATTCTCCACTGCTCTAATCCAAGAGGAGCTAAGTTGTAAGATACACATGGAAAATAACAATCACGCTGTATTCAGAATCACTTCCCCTAACTTACAACTATATCTCTATTATAGTAAGCTCATTTACTTAGGCTCCCCATTCCCCCAAACAAGATCTCCTGTCCTCATCCTACCCCTCTAAATATCTTCTGTTAGACCTTCCCCACCAGTTCACTGGCATGCTCTGATCACTTATATTTAAAGTGAAGTTCAGCTAGACACAGCATTGGCACAAGGAAATAAGTTGGGGCATAATACTTTGAAAATCGTAACACATGAGAAACAGAACAATGCATCAGTTTGTTCATTGGGAGCCCCTCATAGCATGAGGTATACTATTCAAGACAGTAAAAGTGTCTCAAGTTGTGACATTTGTATTATTCAAAGTAGCCAACTATTGGGTATAGCATCCTGCTTGAGTGTTGGGTCTATTGATTGAAAGTTCTATTATAATTCTAAAGTGGATTTAATCTACCATGTTGTAAATGTCAGTAAATATTAATTTTGAAACAAAAATGTCATTTTTTAACAATACAGCAATAGTACTCCTTAGTATTTACACAAAAGAGTTAAAAACTGCAATAAGATACTGTCTCACACCAGTCGGAATGGTGATTTTTAAAAATTCAGGAAACAACAGATGCTGGCAAGGCTGTCAAGAAATAGGAACGCTTTTACACTGTTGGTAGAAGTGTAAATTAGTTCAACCATTGTGGAAGACAGTGTGGCGATTCCTCAAGGATCTAGAACCAGAAATACCGTTTGACCCAGCAACCCATTACTGGGTACATACCCAAAAGATTATAAATCATTCCACTATAAAAACACATACACACGTATGTTTATTGCAGCACTATTTACAATAGCAAAGACTTAGAACCAACCCAAATGCCCATCAATGACAGACTGGATAAAGAAAATGTGGCAAATATACACCACGGAATACTATGCAGCCATAAAAAAGAATGAGTTCATGTCCTTTGCAGGGACATGGATGAAGCTGGAAGCCATTATTCTCAGCAAACTAACACAGGAACAGAAAACCAAACACCGCATGTTCTCACTCATAAGTGGGAGTTGAACAATGAGAACACGAGGACACAGGGAGGGGAACAACACATACCAGGACCTGTCGGCGGGTAGGGGGCAAGGGGATGGAGAGCATTAGGACAAATACCTAATGCATGCAGGGCTTCAAACCTAGATGACAGGTTGAAAGGTGCAGGAAACCACCATGGCACATGTATACCTATGTAACAAACCGGCACGTTCTTCTGTACATGTATCCCAGAACTTAAAGTAAAACTAAAAAAAAAAACAACTTATGTCCAAACAAAAACTTCCACACGATGTTTTAGTTCCATTCATAATTGCCAAAAAGTAACCAAGATGTCCTTCAGTGGGTGAATGAGTAAATAAACTGTAGTACATGCAGACAACAAAATATTATTCAGTGTTTGAAAAATGAGTTACCAAGGTACAAAAAGACATGCAAGAAACTTAAATGTATATTACTAAGTGAAAGAAGCTAATTGACAAAGACTACATATTGCATGATTCCAACTAGATAACATTCTGAAAAAGGCAAAACTATGGAGACGGTTAAAAGATCAGTGGTTTCCAGGGATTAGAGAGAAGGAAGGGATGAATAGCTGAGCACGGAGGATTTCTAGAGCAGTGAACCTACTGTGTATGATACAACAATGTTAGACACGCCATTACACATTTTTCCATACCCACAGAATGCACAACACAAAAAGTGAACCCTGATGTAAACCAACTATGGACTCTGGATGATTATGATGTGTCAATACAGGTTCATCAATTGAAACAAATGTAGTACTCTGGTGGATATTGATAATGGGGGAGGCTATGCATTTGTGTGGGGAGAGAGTATATGGGAAATCTCTGTACTTTGCACTTAAGTTTGCTGTGAACCCAAAACGAGTCTAAAAAGTCAAGTCTACTTTAAATGAGGGAAAATGTAGTTCATCTGAAACAACTGTTAATATCCTCAGTGCAATCCAGATTCCAACAACACAAATACAGCCCTAAAGTCCATCTGTGGACGTTTCTATTCCCAATTTATAAACACCAATATTTTGTCAATAATAAATTATATGGATGTAGGTAAAAATTTTGTAAAAGTTTCCTGAGTAATTTAGAGAAAACAAGAAAAGCTTCACACCCTTCCTTTTGGGGGATTACAGGAATATATCCCATATGTTCCAAACCTGAGATATTAAATAAAAATAACAATCTGGATGAGAGCCTGCCTCTAGGGAGCACAGGGGAGACTTGATTAAGTGTTGGAACATGCCAATGTATGGCAGCAATATGAAATGCATTATATCATTTTAAACTCTAACTTTTAAGGAGACATTATCATTCTCACTTTATTAAAATTTTGCATGAGGCAAGGTCAGGATTTGATGTTACAAACACATTTTATTTTGTAGTCTCATTCTCCAGGTACTCAAATTCCCTGGTTGTAAAAAGAGACAGCATTTTTATCCAGCTTATTTGTCAGGATTATATGAAAAAAACTGAACTTGGCCAGTGGCCTTGAATAGGAGACAAAACTGTAGAAATAGTCCTATGAACTAGAAGTAGGAGAGACTATAAATGTGGCGAACTGGAGTTGAAGAATCCTCAGAAAGGAAAGCAGCATTACAGAACCAAGAGAAGATAAGAAAGGCAGCTATGGCCGGGCATTCTGGCTCACGCATGTAATGCCAGCACTTCGGGATGCCAAGACATGAAGATTGCTTATGGCCAGGAGTTCAAGACCAGCCTAGGCAATATAGTGAGACCTGTCCCTACTAAAAAAAAAAAAAAAAAAAAGGAAACAAAAGGAAAAAAATGCAGTCATATTCTCAACTGGGAGGAGAAGGTTGAAGTAGGCTAGAGATGGACATATATACATATATTATATATACATCATACACATATACATACACATATATATCTTTATCTCATAAATATATGATAAAGATGAAGTTGGGCCAGAAGTGGAGGCTTCCACCAGTTGTGGGCCAGTGACAGGGGTTGGGGAGTAGTGGTGATTGCAAACCATGAGCAGAAGGAAGGAGGGGGTAGGAATACAAAACAATTTTTTATGTTTATTTTTCACTCCTGAGTCTCAGCTCCAGCTTGAAACTGATCTCACTCTCATCAATTGGTATCTTAATATGGAAAGTGGCATAATTAAAGCAGAAACTCTAACAAGCTTGCTTCTGAGGCTTTGAGCCTAAAATATTGGGGTGACTCTAACATTGGAAACCTGATCACTTGCTCAACACCAAGATCAGGGTCTTTCCAATCAGCCATGTCACTGTCATGGAGTAGGAACATAAAATAGTGATTTTCAATAATTTAGGAAAGTTCAAACTAAACTAACATTAACTTTTCATTGCCTCTCCTTCCCCTCTTCCTCTGGCTGAGTTACACGTTTCTGGTTCCCATCTTTTTGTTCCACTCCATGTATGAGAATTGCCCTAAGTTGCAGTGGTTCTCAAGCCTCACTACATATTAGGCTCACCCAGGCAGGTTTTAGAACTGAAAAGACTGGCCCTACTCCAGAAAAACAGAACCCAAACCTAGGAGATGGGGAAAGCCTGAGCAATGGTATGTTTACAGCACTCCCCAGGTGACTCTAATATGCAGCCAGGGTGCTAAGCATCTTTCTATCTGAACCGTTCAAGGGAAAACAAAGGGCAGGATATTATTTATTTAATTCTTGACCAGGTTTCCAATTCTTATATATGAGCTAGGGTCTTTGTTGTGAGACAATTTGTCTGTCAATAAAATTACCTTTCAAATGTTTTGAAGACTGGGATTTCTTGTTCTTAGCACAAAGAACAGCATATGCCATTATCAAAGTACCAACAGGAATCTGGATTTAAACCAATCTGGCATTTTTCCTTTATATCTTTTTTTTTGTCAATTCATTATCATATTCTCTAAGAGAAACAGCAAGAAGTGAGCATTTCCTCAGGGTAATCACTTGAATATGAGTGCCAATAATTTCATTCTACAAAAACCAGATACTCAACTAGATATTGCTAAGAAGAAAAATAAAATATATTAAATTCATAAGGACAACTTCCAAATACTGAACCTTTAACATTATCTCCGATTATAGGTTGTTGTCATATCTAGGGTGTAACCAGCAATGTCAAAAAGCTATAGAATCCTGGAAAGTGCTCCAGCACTAGAAAATGACAAAATGAAAAACTTACAAAGAAATTCCTGTTCCTAGAAATACAATACCTTGTTAAAAATAAAAATCATTAATTTTTGGAGGGGAGGTGTGTTCCAGGACTCTGTCTTATGACTAAAGTACTTGTTAATTGGATAAAAGTAAAAAGAATATTAAATCTCAGTATTTGATGGCAGAAGCCAAGGATGTTTCCCTAGATACAGTCTCCGTTTCTCTTCCCCCTGGGCATCCTGCCATAGGGATTGCTGAGGATGTACATTTGTGATGATATGCACATCTGGTAAAATGACATACGTGTGACCTTCAGTATTTTCAACGTGCGTGCAGCTTGTAGATTGCCTTTGGTGTTGACTTTCCTTCATCTAGCATTTGCAAGAAATTTCCATAGTTTCTAGGTCACTTCATGGAGCTTTTCACAATCTCTAATTTTAATTTTTAGACAGATATACAAATGTATTCATCATAGAAAAAAGTCCAGAAATCTCACCTGCTATAGAAAGATTTAAGAAAATTAAATTTAAATGTACTCAACTTGTTCATAAGACTCCAGCAGTTATTCCCCACTGATAACTTTTGTCTACTTGCCTGGGTTCACTGTCCCTGAGAACTATATCCCCACCTAGTTTCACATGTAAGGAGCTTGGAAGTTACCACTCTGTCCTAATAACATGGAGAAAGCAGAACAAACTGAAAATATCAACAACGCTTCTTGAATCTGTAAGAGAGGTGAGACACAGGGCGAAGCATTGCCCCCAAGATTGGAGAGATAGGTGAATGCAGGAAGTCACAGCTTACTGGAGCAGAGACTCACAAGCAGAAACCTCTGCAGGAATCAGTACCAGGGAAGGAAAAATCTGAACTGTAATTGACAAATTGCTAGAGGCCCCGTGCAGGCAACTCTAAGACTTAAAAACTCTAGAAAGCACCCAGTCATAGGGGGACCCTCCCAATTTTGTGAGATTTACCTCCAGGATCTTGTCCAGGTTCCCGCAGTAAACAGGGGAGAAAACAAATCCCTTCGGGCTTTTCTCAAAGGTAGGGGTATTTATGTAAGCATATTACTTTAAAATTACCTTTTTCTCTCTCATCTACATATTTTGTTTCAATTTTATTTATTTCCCTCTCAATATATAGAGAGAGATTGCATAAATAATCTATAGGGAATATTAGTGATAGAGATTTCTATTTAATTTATTGCTTTAAATAAAATCATGTCAAATTAAAATTACTAGATGCAATTTTAATATTTTCTTTCCAACTCTTAGGTTCAGGGTACTTGTGCATGTTTTAATTTTTTAATTTTTGTGGATTCATAGTAGGTGTACATATTTATAGGTTATGTGAGATATTTTGATACAGGCATGCAGTGCATGATAACACTAGGATAAATGGGGTATCCATCACCTCAAGCATTCATCCTTTGTGTTATAAACAATCTAACTATACACTTTGTTATTTTTAAATGTACAATTATTTTTTACTATAATCACCTTGTTGTGCTAGCAAATATTAGATCTTATTCATTCTTTATAATTTTTTTTTGCACTCATTAACCATCTGCACTTCCCTCCCACCACACCCCCACTACTCTTCCCAGACTCTGGTAACCGTCCTTCTACTCTTTATCTCCATGAGTTCAATTATTTTAATTTTTAGCTCCCATAAATAAGTGAGAATGTGTGAAGTATGTCTTTCTATGCCTGGCTTATTTCCCTTAACATAATGACCTCCAATTTCATCCATGTTTTTGCAAATGGTGGGATCTTCTTTTTTTATGGCTGAATAGTACTATATTGGGTATATGTACCACATTTCCTTTATTCATCTGTTGAAGGACACTTAGGTTGCTTTTAAATCTCATTAAATAGGTAAATTATGTGTTGCAGGAAATTGGTGCACAGATTATTTTGCCACCCAGGTAATAAGCATAAGACCTGATAGGTAGTTTTTTGACCCTCACCATCCTCCCACCCTCTACCCCCGAGTAGGCCCTAGTGTTTATTGTTCTCTTCTTTGTGTCCACGTGTATTCAATTTTTTGCTCCCATTTATAAGTGAGAATATGCAGTATTTGGTTTTCTGATGCTCTGTTAGCTCACATGGGATAATGGCCTCCACCTCCATCCATGATACTGCAAAGGGCATGATTTGAGGTGTTTTTTTATGTCTACATAGTATTCCATGTTATAAATGTACCATATTTTCATTATCCAGTCCACCATTGATGGGCGTTTAGGTTGATTCCATGTCTTTGATATTGTGAATAGTGCTACAATGAACATACACATGCATGTGACCTATCACAGAACAATTTATATTCCTTGGGGTATATACTGACTAATGGGATTGCTGGGTCAAATAGTAGTTCTATTTTAAGTCCTTTGAGACATCTCCAAACTGTTTTCCACAGTGGCTGAACTAATTTACATTTCTACTAGCAGTGTATAAGCATTCCTTTTTCTCTGCAACCTCACCAATATCTGTTATTTTTTGACTTTTTAATAATAGCCATTCGTACTGGTGTGAGATGGTATCTTACTGTGGTTTTGATTTGTATTTCTCTGATTATTAGTAATGATGAACTTGTTTTCATATATTTGTCTGCCACTTACATGTCTTCTTTTGAGACGTGTCTGTTCATATCCTTTGACCATTTTTTAATGGGGTTGGTTTTTGCTTGCTGATTGGTTAAGTTCTTTATAGAAGCTGGATATTAGACCTTTGTCAGATATATGGTTTGTAGATATTTTTTCGGATTCTGAGGTTGTCTGTTTACTCTGTTGATGGTTTCTTCCGCTGTACAGAAGCTCTTTAATTAGCTCCCACTTGTCAATATCTGTTGTGTTGCAACTATTTGGAGGGACTTAGTCAAAATTTCTTTGCTAGGGCTGATGCCGAGAAAGGTATTTCCTAGGTTTTCTTTTAAGCTTTTTATAGTTTGAGGTCTTACATTTACATCTTTAATCTATCTTAAGTTATTCTTTGTATATGGTGAAAAGTAAGGGTTTAATTTCATTCTTCTGCATATGGCTAGCTAGTTATCCCAGTACCATTTATTGAATAGGTAGTCCTTTCCCCATTGCTTGTTTTTGTTAGCCCTGTTGAAGATCAGATGGTTGTAGATGTGTGGCTTTATTTCTGAGATTTCTGTTCTGTTCCATTGGTCTATGCATCTGTTTTTGTACCAGTATCAGGCTGTTTTGGTTGACGTATCTTTATAGTGTCATGGAGTATAGCAGGCATGGCTGAGGAAGCCTTAGGAAACTTACAATTATGGAGGAAGGTGAAGGGGAAGCAAGCACATCTTCACAAGCTGGCAGGAGAAAGAGGAGAGAGTGAAGAAGGAAGTGCTATACGCTTTCAAGCAACCGGATCTTGTAAGAACTCACTCTCATGACAACAGCAAGGGGTAAATCCACTCCCATGATCCCATCACCTCCCACCAGGTCCCTCCTCCAACATTGGGGATTACAATTCAACATGAGACTTAGATGGCAACAAAGAGCCAAACCTTATCAGGTAGTGTGATGCCTCTGGCTTTGTTCTTTTTGCTTAGGATTGCCTTGGCTAGTTGGGCTCTTTTTGGTTCCATATAAATTTAAAAATACTTTTTTATAATTCTGTTAATAATTATTTTGGCAGTTTGATAGGAATAGTGTTGAGCCTCTAAATAGTTTTGGGCTCTATGGCCATTTTAATAATATTGACTCTCCTACTCCATGAGCATGGGGTGTTTTCTGATTTATTTGTGTCATCTTTGATTTCTCTGAACAGTGTTTTATAGTTCTCATTGTAGAAATTTTTCACCTCATTGGTTAGATGTATTTCTAGCTATTTCATTTTCTTTGTGGCTATTGTAAACGGGATTGTGTTCTTCATTTGACTCTTAGCCTTGATGTTACTGGCGTACAGAAATGCCACCAATTTCTGCATATAGGTTTTGCATTCTAAAACCTTGCTAAAATCTTTTATTAGTTCTAGTAGCCTTTTGGCAGAGTCTTTAGGGTTGCCTAAGTATAGAATCATGTGATCGGCCAAAAGAGATAATTTGACTTTTACTTTTCTATTTGGATGCCTTTTATTTCTTTCTCCTGCCTGATTGCTCTGGTTAGGACTTCCAGTAATATGTTGAATAGGAGTGGTGAAAGTGAGCATCCTTGCCTTGTTCCAGTTTTCAAGGGGAATACTTCCAACTTTTGCCCATTCAGTATGATGTTGGCTGTGGGTTTGTCATAGATGGCTCTTATTATTTTGAGGTATGCTCCTTCGATAGCTAGTCTGTGGAGGGTTTTTATCATGAAGGAAGGATTTTGGATATTATTAATCATTTTTTCTGCATCTGTTGAGATGATCATATGATATTTAATGCTGTTTATGTGGTGCATCACATTAATTTGTGTATGTTGAACCAACCTTGTATCCCATGAATAAAGCCTAGTTGATCATGTTGAATTAACTTTTTGATGGGCTGCTAGATGCAGTTTGCTAATGTTTTTTGAGGATTTTTTCATCTGTATTCATCAGGAATATTGGCATGAATTTTTCTTTCTTCATTGTGTCTCTGTCAGATTTAGGTATTAGGCTGATGCTGGTTTCATAGAATAAGTTAGGGAGGAATCCCTCCTCTTTGATTTTTTGGAATAGTTTCAGTAGGATTGGCACCAGTTCTTTGTACATCTGGTAGAATTCAGCTGTGCATCCATCTGGTCTAGGACTTATTTTGTTTGTAGGTTGTTTATTACTGCTTCAATTATAGAGCTCGATATTGGTCTATTCAGGATTTCAATCTCTTCCTGATTCAATCTTAAGAGATTGTGTGTTTCCAGGAATTTGTCCATTTCCTCTAGATTTTCTAAATTGTGTGTATAAATTTGTTTATAGTATTCTCTAAAGAGCTTTTTTATTTCTGTGGGATAGCTTTTAATATCATCATTGTAATTTCTGATTGTACTTATTTGGATCTTCTCTTTTTTCTTTGCTAGTCTAACTAGCACTCTATCAATCTTGTTAATTTTTTAAATAATCCACTTTTGGTTTCACTGATCTTTTGTATGGATTTTTACATCTAAATTTTCATAAATTTTTCTCTAATTTTAGTTATTTATCTTCTACTAGGTTTGGGGTTTGTTTGTTCCTTTTATTTCTAGTTCTTTTAAGTGCAAAGTTAGATTGTCAATTTGAGGTATTTCTAACTTCCTGATGAAGGCATTTATGGCTATAAACTTTCCTCTTAACACTGCTATAGCTGCATCCCAGAGATTTTGGTAAGTTCTGTCCCTATTTTTGTCAATTTCAAATAATTTTTTTATTTCCATCTTAATTTCAATGTTCTCTCAAGAATTATTTAGGAACAAGTTGTTTAATTTCCATATGTTTGTATAGTTTTGAAAGGTCTTTTTGATATTTACTTCTATTTTTATTGCACTATGGTCCAAAAATGTGCTTAGTATGTTTTCCCTATTTTTTCCCTATTTTTTTGTTGTTGAGTGTTGCCTTATCACTGAGTATCTGATCAATCTTAGAATATGTTCCATGTGCAGATGAGAAAGATCTATTCTATAGTTGTTGGGTGGAATGTTCTGTAGATGTCTCTTATGTCCAGTTGGTCAAGTGTTGAGTTTAAGTCCAGAGTTTCTTTGTTAGTTTTCTGCCTTGGTGATCTATCTAATGCTGTCAGTGGGGAGTTAAAATCTTCACTATTATTGTGTGGTTGCCTACGTTTTTCCATAGGGAAAGAAGAACTTGTTTTTTAAATGTAGGTGCTCCAATGTTGGGGGCATATATATTTAGGATAATTCAGTCTTCTTGTCAGATTGCAACCTTTATCGTTATGTAATGCCCTTCATTGTCCTTCATTTTTATTGATTTAAAATCTGTTTCATCTGATGTAAGAATTGTGACTCTTGCTCTTTTTTGTTTTTCATTGCATGGTAGATTTTTTTTTTGGCCATCTTTTACTTTGAGGCTGTTGGTGTTGTTACATGTGAGATTGGTCTCTTGAAGACAACAGATGATTTGGTCTGATGTTTTTATCCAGTCTGTCTTTTACGTGGGGCATTTAGCCCATTGACATTCAAGGTTAGTATAGATATGTGTGAATTTGATCCTTTCATCCTGTTGTTAGCTGTTTTTTACATAGACTTGATTGTATCCTTGCTTTATATTTATGCCTGTGAGCTATGTACCTAAGTATGTTTTTGTGGTGGCCAATAATGGTCTTTTGTTTCCCTGTTTAGCACTCCCTTAAGGACCTCTTGTAAGACTGGTCTAGTTGAAAGGTATCAACTTAGCATTTGCTTGTCTGGAAAAGGACTTTACTTCTTCACTTATGAAACTTAGTTTGGCAGAATATAAAAATTCTTGGTTGAAATTTCTTTCCTTTAAGGATGTTAAAAATAGTACACCATTCTCTTCTGGCTTGAAAGGCTTCTACTGAGAGGTCTGCTGCTACCTTGAAGGGGTTCCCTCTTTATGTAAATTGGCCCTTCTCTCTAGATGCATTTAAGATTTTTTCTTTTACATTGACCTCTGTGAATCAGACTATGTGCCTTAGAGATAGATAGTCATCTTACACAGTATCTAGCTGGGGTTCTCTGTATCTCTTAGATTTGCATGTATAATCTCTCTAGTGAGATTAAGAAAATTTTTGTGGACTATGTCCTTGATATAGTTTGGATATTTATCCCTGCCCAAATCTCATGTTGAAATGTAATCCTCAATGTTGGTGGTAGGGCCAGGCAGGAAGGTGATTGGATCATGGGGGTGGATTTCTCATGAATGGTTTAGCACCTTCTCCTTGGTGCTGTCTTTGTAATAGTGAGTGAGTTCTTGCAAGATCTGGTTGTTTAAAAGTGTGTGGCACCTCCTCCTCTCTCTCTTGCTCCTGCTCCCCAGTGTGAGATGTCTGCTCCCCCTATACCTTTCACCATAATTGGGAGCTTCCTGAGGTCTCCCCAGAAGCAGATACCTGTGTTATGCTTTGTGTACAACCTGCACAACTGTGAGCCAATTAAACATCTTTTCTTTATAAATTACCCAGTCTCAGGTATTTCTTTATAGCAAAGCAAGAATGACCTAATTACAGTCCTCAAATATAGTTTCTAAGTTGCATATTCTCTCTCCTTCTGTCTTAGGAATGCCAGTGAGTCATAGATTTGGTATCTTTACATAATCCCGTATTTCTCAGAGGTTTTGCTCATTTTTAAAAATTCTTTTTTCTTTCCTGTCTGAGTTGATTTGAAGAACCAGTCTTCAAACTCTTGAGATTCTTTCCTCAGCTTTATCTATTCTAATATTAATATTTCTGATTGTATTATGAAATGCTTATAGTGAGTTTTTCAGCTCTAGAAGTTTAGTTTGGTTCTTTCTTTAAATGGCTATTTAATCTCTCAGCTCTTGGATTATTTTACTGGACTCTGGATTTGGTTTTAACTTTATCCTCAATCTTGATGAATTTCCTTGCCATCCAAATCCTGGATGCTGTCTGCCACTTCAGTTACTTTAAAGTGGTTAATAACCTTTGTTGGGGAATTAATGGATTCATTTGGAGGTAAGGGGACACTCTAGTTTTTTGAATTACCAGAGTTCTTGCACTGATTCTCATCTGGGTGGTTGGTGTTCCTTTTTTTTTTTTTCTTATTCTTTTTATTTATTTATTTATTTATTTTACTATTATACTTTAAGTTTTAGGGTACATGTGCACATTGTGCAGGTTAGTTACATACGTATACATGTGCCATGCTGGTGTGCTGCACCCACTAACTCGTCATCTAGCATTAGTGTTCCTTTAACTCTGGTGTAAGTTAGGTATAAGCAGTTGGCTTTGTTTCTGTTGTTTTCATAGGGCAAGGGCTCTGTACAGGACCTTTATGTGTGGATGAATTCTTGCATTTGGGTTCACAGGTATACATATTAGCGGCAATCTTTATGGTATTGTCTTTTGGGCTGCAATCCAGTAGATGTCACTTAAGAGTAATGGTCGGTAGCTAGGTTAATACCCACGCTCACAGCTCTTTTGTATTTTCTGACATTCAAAGTGTGCTCTGTGGTTGAGGTGGGGCATAGCCTCCTCACCAGGTTCATTCCTGGGACTTGGGGGAGCCATTCTGATCACTGGCAATGCATCCACATTGCTTTTGTTAGATGTTCTGGGCTGTGGGGCTCTCTCAGGCAGAGGCTGCAGCAGGGAGATAAGCCACACCATTTCTAGACTGGCCTTGTAGAGGAAGGCATGCCCCACTCCTGCCCTGGCCCAGGAACCCATGCATCTTGCCCTTCTCAATGCTCTGAGGGTCGGGGTTCTCCCCTGCAATATCTCCATATTCCCCAGCTGAACACCACAGCTCTTGGGACACCAGAACATCCCACAGCTTGGGGTCGGGTTCCAGCTGCACAGGGGGATCTTATGTGCTCCCAGGTCACCAGGAAAGTACTCAGGTACAGAAATGCACTCAGTATGGCATGCAAGGACAGCACTGTGCACCTGCTCCTGCAGTTGACTAGCCCTGGGAAGGGCTGGTGGGCAGGGGAGCTTGCATCTTCCCATTGGAACAGATGCATCCTAGGTCCAATGGGGAGCTAGCCCTGCTGCCTCCTGGCTTAGAGGTCAGTTGAGACTTACAGCTCCTGGAAAGGGATGCGGAGCCCTGGGGGATGGGCGTCCATGGCCACTCTCTGGCGAAGCTGCCCAGCTCACAAAAGCTTCCCAGCTCTATGTCATCTGAAGGCCTGTCTCTGTTTCTGTGGAGAGGCAGATCCCTATGCCTGCTCACATAATCACAGGGGATGCAGTCACCCGTAGCTAGGATCTAAGAGGTCCACAGTGAGAGTGAGCCATCCTTCAGTTCCCTCACTAATCCTTTTCCCATGAACCATTCAGGGCCAGAAACTACTCCTAGTACTCCTAGTACCCCACTCAAGGGTCTAAACTTCCTTCCTCTTTAGCTTAAGCTTCAATATTGTTTCTACATCCACTCTTGGCATTTTCTATCTGAAGATACACCCAAGTTATGGTGGTTTACTCAATAATTTGGTCTCCTTGGTGGGAGTAGCACTTCCTGGTTGTATCTAGTAGGCCATCTTGTCCCACCTCCCTAGGCACATTATTTTCAAACTACAGAAAACCGAAGATGAAGGAAAAGCCCTGAAAACGTCAGGATAAAAACACTTTACCTTTAGAGGAGCAAGGAAAATAATTATATATGACTTTTCCTCAGAAATAATACATGTAAGAAGAGAGTGGAAGAGATTTTTAAAGTGTTGAGAAAAAAAATGCCACTGACCTAGAATTCTGCACTCTGCAAAATTATCCTCCCAAACTGAAGATGTAGTAAGACTTTCTCAGAAAAACAAAAATTGAGGAATTTGTTGCCAGTAGAACTGCCATGTAAGAAATGTTAAAAGAAGTTCCTTAGAGAGAAGGAAAATACTATAGTTCAGAACTCATGTTTACATAAAGAAGAGTATTAAAAAAAGAATAAGTGAAGATAAAATAGAAATTTTTGTTTTTCTTATTCTTAATTGATTAGACAACAGTTTGTTCAAAATTCATAATAACAGCAATGTATTTGATTATTGTCCTTGTCCATTTTCTGCAGCTATAACAGAATATCAAAGACTAGGTAATGTGTAATGAACAGAAATTTATTTCTCACAGTTCTGGATGCTGAGAAGTCTAAGACCAAGGCACCAGCATCTGGCAAGGCCCTTTCTTCCTGACTTCTAGAGGGGAGGAACACTGTGTCCTCACATGATATAAGGTGGAAGGGCAAGAGAGGAAGTATACTCCCTCTTCCACCTTGAGCCTTTTTATGAGTCCTAATCTCATCTATGGGAGCTCTGACTTTATTACTTAATTACCTCTTAAAGACCCCACCTTTTGATCCTATTACATTGCAGATTAGGTGATTAGGTTTCAAGCTATGAATTTTGGAGAGGATGTAAAAATCCAAACCATAATAATTATGTGTGCTTATTTATATATAATATATAGTTGTAAGCATACACTACAAACTCTAGGGCAACCACTAAAAATAAAAATAGAAGTATAACTGATATGCTAAGAAAGGAGATAAAATGGCATCATGTAAAATGCTCGATTAAAACCACATATAGCAGAAAAAAGGACAAAAATAAGAACAAGAAAAAGAACTAGAGAACTGTTCCAAGTAAATCTTAATCTAAATATCTAAATATCAATAATCACTTTGAATGTCAATGGTCTAAATGATCTACTTAAAGAAAAAAGATTGTCAGAATGAATTAAAAACAAGACCCAACCATATGTTGTCTACAAGATACCCACTTTAAATATAAAGACACACATAGATTAAAAGTAAATGGATGGAGAAAGATATACCATGCTACACACACACACACACACACACACACACACACACACACACACACACACACACCAGAACAGACTTCAAAGCAAGGAGAGTTATCAGAGATAAAAAGAAGCGTTACATTACAATAAAGCAGTCAATGCTACAAGAAGACATAACAATTCTTAATGTGACAACAGACAGTCGAACTGAGTGAAGCAAAATCTCATACAGCTGCAAGAAGGAAAAGGTGAACTCATTATTATAGTTGGAGACATCAACACCCCCATCAGAAATAGAGAAATCCAGCAGGCAGAAAGGCAGCAAGGATATATTTGAATTCAACAATACCATCAATCAGCTGGATATAATCAACTTCATGCAACAATAGCAGAAAACACATTTTTCTGAAGCTCACATAGAGCATTTACCAAGGTAGACCACATTGTGGGCCATAAAACATACCTTAACACATATTAAAAAATAAAAATCATGTAAGTTCTGCTCTCAGACCAAAATACACTTAAACTAGAGATTACTGAAAAAATAAATGAAAAATCCCAAATACATGAAGATTAAACAACATACTTCTAAATAACACATGAATTAAATAAGAAATCTCAAGACACATTTAAAAATACTTTGAACTAAATGAAAATGGAAAACACAGATTGAAATTTGTGGGATGTACGAAAGCAAAGCTTACAGGGAAATTTATAGCATTGAATGCATACATTAGAAAAGAAGAAAAATCTAAAATCAACAATACAAGTTTCTACCTTAGCAAACTAGAAAAGGAAAAGCAAATGAAATCCAAAGTAACAAGAAGGAAAGCAGTAATAAAAATTAAAGCAGAAATCAGTGAAATAAAAAACCTGAAATCAGTAGGGTAAAGCAATAAAACCCAAAGCTGTTTCTTTGAAAAGATCAATAAAATTAATAAGCCTCTTCCATGCCTAATATGCAAAAAGAGAAAGGATATAAATTACATCAGAAATGAAACAGAGAACAATACTACAGATCCTGTAAATATTAAATGGATAATAAAGGAATAGTATAAATACCTCTATGCTCTCAAGTTTGGTAATCTAAATGAAGTGAATCAATTCCCTGAAAGATACAATTTGCCAAAAATTCCACAAGAAGTAATAGACAATCTGAATTATCATCTATTAAAAATTTGAGTTTCAAATTTTAAAATTTCTAAAACACAAAGCATCAGGCCCAGATGTAGTCACTGGTAAATTCTACCACATGTTTAAGGGAGAAATTATTTCAGTTCTCTACAATCTCCTTCAGGGGATAGCAGCAGAGGCGATACTTCCTAACTCATTCTATGAGGCAAGAGTAACCCTAATACTAAAACCAGGAAAAAGTGTTAAAAGTAAGGAAAACTACAAACCAATATCTCTCATGAAGATAGATGTAAAAATTCTCAAAAAAAAAAAAAAACCCAGCAAATCAAATCCAACAATGTATAAAAAGAAGTATACACCATCAGCAAGTGAGATGTATCCCAGGTATTCAAGACTGGATAAACATTTAAAAATCAATCAATGTAATCTATCACATTAACATTATAAAAAAGAAAAATCACATGATCATATCCATAGATGCAGAAAAAAAGAATTTTAAAAAATCCAATACTCATTCATGATAAAAATTCTGGAATGTCTTTAACTTGATAAATTTTTTTAAAAATCTACAAAAACCTATAGCTAACATCTTAATGATGAGAAGCCTGAAGCTTTTCCAATGATTTAAAAATTAGGAGGAAGGCAAGGATGTCTTCTCTCACTACTACTTTTGAGCATCATATTGGAAGTACTAGCTAATGCAATAACACAAGAAAAGGAAGTAAAAAATATACAGACAGGAAAGGAAAATAAAACTGTTTTGTTTGCAGATGACATAATCATTTATGAAGAAAATCTTTAAAAATTGATGAAACAAAAACACTATTACACAATTATGGCAAAGTTGTAGGATATAAGATTCATATACAAAAGTCAATTGCTTTCCTATATACCAGCAATGAACAAGTGAAATTCTAGATCCAAAACACTATGCCATTTACATTAGCATCCCCCAAAATAAAATAGTTAATTATAAATCTAATAATATATGTATAAGATCTATATGCAAAAAACAATGAAATTGTGATCAATGAAATCAAGAAAGAACTAAATAAATGGAGAGCTATTCCATGTTCATAGTTAGGAAGACTCAGTATTTTCAAGATGTCAGTTACTCCCAAATTGATATATAGATTCAATGCAGGCTGGGCACGGTGGCTCACGCCTGTAATCCCAGCACTTTGGGAGGCTGGGGCAGGCGGATTATGAGGTCATGAGATCAATACCATCCTGGCTAACACAGTGAAACCCCGTCTCTACTAAAAAATACAAAAAAAAAAAAAAAAATAGCCAGGCATGGTGGTGGGTGCCTGTAGTCCCAGCTACTCAGGAGGCTGAGGTAGGGGAATGGCGTGAACCAGGGAGGCGGAGCTTGCAGTGAGCTCAAATAGTGCCACTGCACTCCAGCCTGGGTGACAGAGCAAGACTCCATCTCAAAAAAAAAAGAAGAAAAAAATAGAAAAAATAGATTCAATGCAATCCTAACAAAAATCCCAATAAGTTATTGTGTAGATATCAACAAAATGATTCTAATGTTTTTATGGAGAGGCAAAAACCCATAATTCCTGATGCAAAATTGAAGAAGAACAAAGTTTGAGAACTGACACTACATGACTTCAGGACTTACCATGAATCTATAGAAACCAAGATAATGTCATATTAGTTAAAGAATAAAGAAATAGATCAAAAGAAGAGAACTGAGATCCCAGAAATAGACCCACATCAAGATAGGCAACCAATAGTCTTTCAGTGAATGGTGCTAGAACTGGAGAGCCACATGCAAAACAGTGAGCTAGACAAAGACCACACACACTTTACAAAAATTAACTCAAAATGCATCATAGACCTCAGTGAAAAAAAGAAAAACTATAAAACTCCTAGAAGATAGCATCAAAGAAAATATAAAAAACTTTGGGTATGGTAATGACTTTTTGAATAAAACACCAGTCACAAATAATGAGATAAAAATTGAGAAGCTACACTTAAAAAACCCCCAGAAACTTCTGGTTTGTTAAATACAATGACAAGAGAATAAGAAGACAAGCCACAGACTGGGAGAAAATATTTGCAAAAAGACACAAATCATAAAGGACTATTACATAGTCCTATTAGTACTACTATATAGGTCTTTATCACATGAGTCTTTTTGCAAATACTTTTATATCAAAATAATATATTAATATATAAAATAATATATATCAAATATATCAAATAATATATCAAAATACAACTATATTTTGATACAATATATCAAAATACAACTATATTTTGATACAATATATCAAAATACAACTATATTTTGATACAATATATCAAAATACAACTATATTTTGATACAATATATCAAAATACAACTATTTTGATATATCTATTAAAAATTTGAGTTTCTAATTTAAAAATTTTTAAAACACAAAGCATCAGCCCCAAAATACAACTATTTTGATATATTATTTATATATATCAAATATATTAGAAACTTAAAAACTCAACAATAAGAAAATAACCTGATTTAAACAATAAACCAAAGACTGCAACACGCATCTGAAAGAAGATATACAGGTGACAAATCAGCATATGAAAATATGTTCCACTTCCTATGTCATCAGGAAAATACAAATTAAAACAATAATGAGATAGCAATACACACGCATTAGAATGGCCAAAATCTGTAACACAGACAAAACCAAATGCTGACAAGAATGTGGAACAACAGGTACTGTCAATCATTGCTGGTGGGAATACAAAATAGTACTGCAGCTTTGGAAAACAGAAGTTTCTTACCAAACTAAACATATTCTTACCATATGATCTAGCAATTACTCTCCATGGTATTTACTCAAAGGAGATGAAAACTTATGCCCACACATAAACTTGTGGACTAAACTGTTACTCAGGTGTTTACAGCAGTTTTATTCATGATTACCAAAACTTGGAAGTGACCAAAATGTCCTTTAGTAGGTGAATAGATAAACTGTGGTACATCCAGACCATGGAATATTATTCAGTGTTAAAAGGAAATTAGTTATCAAGCCATGAAAAGACATAGAGGAAACTTAAATGCATATAATTAAGTGAAAGAAGACAATATGAAAAGGATACATACTTATTATTCCAATTATATGACATTCTGGAAAAGGCAAAGCTATGGGGACAGTAAAAAGATGAGTGGTTGCCAGGGGTTGGGGAGGGGGGCATGAATAGACAGAGCACACAGTATTTTTAGGGGAGTGAAACTATTCTATATGATACTATAATGGTGGATATATGTCATTATATGTTTTGTCAAACCCATAGATTATACTATGGTAAACTATGGACTCTGGGTGATAATGATGTGTCAATGGAGGATTATTAATGCTAACTAATGTACCACTCAGAAGGGGGATGTTGATAATAAGGCAGACTATGCATGTGAAGGGGCAAGGGTCATATGGAAAATCTCTGTACATTTCTCCTAATTTTGCTGTGAGCTTTAAATATTCTAAAAACATAGTCTTTAAATAAATGAAAAATAAAGGAACAAAAGAAAAAGGGAGGGAGGGAGGGAGGGAGGGACTGTGTCCTCTTTTATCATAAAAAGTGTAGGGCAAGTAGATGCTTCTATAGCAGAGAAGGACTTTGGGCTCATGAATTACATGCTCCATTATGGTTGGCTCAGTAAAGATCCTTTGCAAGACGGAAAAATATTTAAACCTTGGTCCTCCTTGTGAAATACCAGACAGAGAAAAAACAAATTCGAAAAGATGTGTATTTTCTTTTTGTGAAACATACAGCAATTTCTAAAATATTTGCAAACATTTAGCTCTCATCTGCAGTATAAGCATACTACTACCCACTTAGGGATTAGAAGCAAAAGTATTCGGCATCTGGAATATATGATAGAAGAGACTTAGTAAATGTGGCTTATTAACCTCTTCTCTTTATTTCTCAGAAATGTAAGTGAACACTACACAGGACTTTCGAGGAGCAGAATTTTGAAGCTATATCTTAATATCTTATTATATTTTTCCCTCAAGCACTGAAGAAGTACAGGATGAAGCCAGTTCTTTGAATCTGAAAAGCAAAATCAGATCCCTGTATTTTTTTAAGTTGGGATGTGTAATCTGGTGCTTCTGGGTTGTTTTTATCTAGGATCATGATGACCTGTTATGAGTGTGCTTTAGCAACCTTGAAAATGGATAACATCAAAATGCAATTTACTGTACAAAAACGGCATGAAACAATGCATCTTTCAAATATGCTTTGAAATGCTGATTATGATGGTGTCACAAAAATTAACAGTAAATTACAAAATAAGTACATGATAGCATAGCAGTGCATTGTTAAATGAAAATGGGTAGGGGAGAGAATGAAAACATAATAGGCATCTTCTTTCTAAATTTCTTATTGCCAAATCTTAAATGAAACAAGAGGCATAATCACAAGTACATTAGGAGCACAGCCCAGAAATTGTTTAGGACAACGTGCTTTTAAAGGTTGAAGGTCATGTCACTTTCTCCATTTTGGCCTGTTACACTCATGAAGACAAAGGTAAGTATGTTTCTAGTTAATAGAGTAGCCACAAAATCAATATAGAGAAATAGTAAATACATAGTGCAAATGTTACTCGAAGGAAATACTATCAAGGAAAAGACACTTTCAGAAAAAGAGAGGACTTTAGAAGCAATTTTGTTCAACTGTATTTTTATTGGTGAGGAAAATGAAGTTCTGAGATGTAAAGGACATAGGGTGTTTTGTGTGTGTGTGTGTGTGTGTGTTTTCAGTGTAGAATTGAACCCAGGCCCTGTAAGATGTTAGTGTTTCTCTTACCTTTTACATCCTATTGGATCTAAGAGCGTGAATTGAAAGGATTTAAGTATAGCTACAATTTCCTTTCTATAATAGGGCTCGTAGAAAGTCAGGTGGACTTTACAAAATAAGTGAAAGGCAATTTTCAGCAATGAAAAGGTTTTGATTCTAAACTGTCTCTATTTAATAATCTGTAATTCTGCTCACATCAAAAAGAATGTCAGAAGAGAATTAGAGATGGGTTTTTCACATGGGGCTTAAGTGGATGTGGTTTGATAGAAAACAATCATTTTATTTTCTAATTAAGTTTATACAATTTGGCAACCATATCCATTTCCCAAAAAGAATTTCCTGTGGATTCTACAAACTGGAAGTCAGAAATAATACTGCTCAAAAGTCTCTCCTTCCTTTCCAAACTCCAGTTTAAATTTGTCTTCTTGACACGAAAATCCAAGCAAAGCTTTGCCCAAGCCTGAAAAAGCTTTATATGAGGTTCCAGGGAAAAACAAGGCAAAATAATACAAATAGCACCTCTGACAGCAGAGACCAGAGCTCTGCTCTCTGTGATTTTCCTGGCTGTTCAGTAAAGGTCTTGATGCCTGGTGATAAATAGACTGCATGTGTACAGTAGAAGATAAAAATGATCTCCGTTGGCCCTTTCCCAGCTACAGATGCCATTGCTTTGACCTTAAGCATCGTATTCCAGCCCCAGTTTGCTGAAATGCTCCAAGGCAAAATACTCTGTATCATTCTGCCTCAGTGTGGCGAGAGGCTCCTGGGCCTGGGAATGTGCTCATATTTGGTGATGTCTTCCTGCGTCACTAAAGCAATCAGATGGATCCAGATTGAAAAGACAATAAGGGCTGAACAAAAGCCGAGAGGGCAAACAGATGGGTAATGATCCCCTCTTCTATCATTCGTGTCTATAGAGAATTATTCAGCAAAATTGAACTCTCTGATGAACAGAGCCCAAGATAGCTTTATGCAATGAAAATAATGGGATTCTTCCTTTCTATTTGCTTCTGTGCTCTGAGAGAAATGGTAAAATGATATTCTTATTCATGGTAGTAGAAAAAAAAAAAGGATCTACTGATGTTTGTCACAGTCAGTAGTGTGATACGAGAGAGTGAGAACTTTTTCAGTCAGGCTCCCTTTATCATGAATCAGGATGTATGTGGGAGATCTGTCGACACCTCTGTCAGTTCCCAGAGCCCCCGATCTGGGATAGATAGCGCCTGGGGAAAGAAACGGAACATCTGCTCTTCTAAGTTGACTCTGGAAATCAAGAGAGCCAAGTGGATAATAACTTCTCATTCAGTAAGTTTTGAAATAATTCAGTAAACTATGATTTGAAAACCTGTAGCGATGGACTTGGGAAAAGGAAGTCCCCCATATCTAAGGATGTGGAGGCTAGAAAGTGGGGAGGTGTTTGCTAAAATGAGAAGTTCATTGGTTACTTTCATATTTTATGTGCCCCCTTCATCCCAACTGCATGCCTCTGAAAGGGTGTTACAGGCACTGTGGGTACCAGTGGCAGTACCTCTGGTGAGGCATAAATCTAGTACTGCTTACCACTGCAGAGGTATCCCTAACCAAATGCTACTGCAGTCTTGCTGGGTGTAGGTTTTGTGGTCCTGTTTTCCCCTGAAACATAGCAGAAAACATCTTTTAAGCTTAGGTTCTGAGTTATCACGGTCTGTGTTTCCACCAAGGGAGAGTGAGTGACGAGCCACTTAGGAGAGATACCTATCAACCAGATAATCTAGAAGAAATTCTTTCAGACTAGATGAATAATATCTTTACCTTTGCTTTTGGGCTGCTGTTCAACAGAGGTTTAAAAAGGGTAACTGGGATAATGTCCTATTTTATCCCATGTCTGAAAAAAAAATCTATTTCTTATCAAGGATGTCTTTTATTAAAAATAACAGTAGCTACTACTTCTTGAGTTATTGAGTCTTAAGGATACATACAGATTGAGTATTCCTTATCTGAAATGCTTGGGACCAGAAGTGTTTTGGATTTGTACTTTTCTTCCGTATTTTAGAATATTTGTAGATATATGTCTTGGGAAAAGGACGTAAGTCTAAACACAAAATTCATTTATGGTTTTTATACTTTCTACACATAGCCTGAAGATAATTTTATACATTTGTATTAATTTTGTGCCTGAAACAAAATTGTGTTGAGTGCTTATGTGTAGAATTTTCCACCGTGGTATCATGTCACCACTTAAATAATATTGGATTTGGGAGCATTTTCAATATCAGATTTTTGGATTCTCACCCTGTATACATGTGTATGTGTGTGTGTGTGTGTGTGTACACACACACACACACACACACACACACACACAAACACAGTTAGAGATTAAGTGACTTGCTTAAGATAATGCAAGTAGTGAACTTTGGGGCCCGGGGCTGCCTGATTCCAGACCTCAAGGTCCTTGTACTAAAACCAAGCTAGCTTATCTCTGGCACTCAGTTGCAATTGATTCTACATTGCCTTCTACTCTTACCTTCGCATTTCCTTTACCATACTGTAAGTTCCTCAAAGGCAGAAGCTATATCCTGTATTTGTCACTCCCATAGAGCCAGCACCTAGCAAGTATCATTACCAGACTTCATGTGATGAAAGCCTGTTCCATACATAGAGTGATTATTTGTCAGTGTCATGAGACCTCAGACCTTCACTGGGTTTGAAAGATAGGTGGAAATAGCCACTCACAGATTACTGAGGTCCTTGCATGCCATATGGGGCTGAGAAAGCTGTTCATTGCATATCCATATGTGCCCTACATTTTCCAGCCCTCAGCTGCCTTTGGAACACGACAGTGCTGAGGAATGGACTCTGAGCAGAAATGACATATGTCACATCTAGGCCATGGCAACTAAGAATCAATTTCCCTTCTCCATTCTTCTCTTCACACACAGGGTGACATGAGATGATAGTATCACAAGATAAACTCAGCCCGAATTTCTCAGTGATCAAATAGATGAGAACTCTTTCATCAGAATGTGCTAGAGAAAGAAACACGCTTTTGTTTCCAAACCATTGAGATTTGGGGGTTTATATGTTGCTGCCACAAACCCTGTCCTTTTCTTGTCAATATGCCATGCCATAAAGTTTGGACTTTTAAATATTAACCAAGTCAGCTCATTAGAAGCTTTCATGCAAGGCAGCAGCAATCTAAAGTATCTTAACTATCAAATTAGCTCTTTTTAAGTCATGCCTTCATATTTTCTTTCCTCCTAGCATTTTCCAGGGTCTTTTACTTTTCACTTATTCATTCAACAATTGATTGTTAATTACGTTATCTGACTACTACTTTGTGTCTGGTGTGGGACATTCAGGTCACTTAATTATTTGTTAAATATTGAAGTAAAGTATGTCATGTACCAGACACAGTTCTAGGGTGCTTGTGAAACATTTAATCTAGAAATGCTAGAAGGCACTATCATCACCCTCATTTTATATATTAAGGAAACTGGGTCACAGAGAAATTAAGGAACTTGCTCAAGGTCAGAGTTGGTAGTAGGAAATATTGAAACTTGAAAACAGCCAGACTTGGCGTCAGCATCTAAGCTCTTAACCAAAAAATTGATGATAGTGTTATAGTTGAATCAATGCAGGGGATGGAGTCCTAACAGATCATCATGGCCAACCTGGTCCTTGCCCATGGGCCTTACTGAAGCTGCTGCTTCCCTCCTATTTTATCACAAACATCAGCTTGGCTTTAAGACCAGGAAGTTCTCAGGAAAATGCTGAGAGAACTCTCAGGGAATTTATCCCATCTCTACATTCCTTTAGTATCTTCTTTACCTTTCCATCAAGTCACTGCTTATCCCATATCTTTATTTATTTAGTTAGTTATATACAAGATTTATTCATATTAGTATGCCCACAGCATTTATTTCACAACATGAATATGCAGAGTAAATGTTTTACAGATGATGTAAATGAAGAATGAGTAAACTAATTAATACAAGTTAAGCCATAATCCACTGCTAAAATTTAAGCACTTTTGGATATTTCTGTCTACCCTACCCTATAAATGGCAGGGTAGACAATACATAGCAGTAAATATATTTTTTTTTCTGCTTGACTATAAAGCCTAACTATATAACACTTTCAGTGAGTGTTATTTAATATCTTGTGTTGTTGTTTCCAACTGTGGAGGGATCTTTTACTGTTCTAGTACTGAGAAAATAATAATAGAGGGCATATATTGAGCATTTACTGTGAGTTAGGCAGTTGCTATGGACTGAATGCTTATTTCCCAAAATTCATGTATTGAAGCCCTAATTCCCAATATGACGACATTAGGAGGTGGGGCCTTCAGGAGGTAATTAGGTCATGAGGATGGAGCCCTCATGAATGGGATTCCTGTCTCTTAAAGAGATATGAGAGAGAGGATCTTTCTCTTTCTCTACCATGTAAGAATACAGCAAGAAGTCACCCATCTGCAAACCTGGAAGCAGGTCTTCACAAGGAAACGAATCAGCCAAGTGTTAGTTTGTTCTCACACTGCTATAAAGAAATCTAGACTGGGTAATTTATAAAGAAAAGAGGCTTAATTGGCTCCTGGTTCTGGAGGTTACACAGGAAGCACAGTTGTTTCAGCTTCTGCGGAGGCCTCAGGAACTTTCCAATCATGGTGGAAGGCAAAGGGGAAGCAGACCTGTCTTACACAGCTGGAGCAGGAGCAAGAGAGAAGGAGGGGCATGCTACACCGTTTTAAACAACCACATCTTGTGAGAACTCTATCACGAGAACAGCACTAGGAGGATGGTGCTAAACCAGTCATGAGAAACCACCTGCCGCCATGATCCAATCACCTCCCACCATGCCCCACCTCCAACACTGGGGATTACAATTCAACATGAGATTTGCATGGGGACACAGATCCAAACCATGTCAAGCTAGTAGCTTGATCTTGGATTTCACTGCCTCAAAAATGGAAAATAAATGTTGTTTATGCCACCCTGTCTATGGTATTTGTTATAGCAGCCTAAACTAGGACAGCAGTCTTGTAAGGACTTTATGAATAAAAATGTATTTAATCTTCATAATAGCTTGATGAGTCATAGTCAATCAATTCTCATTATTCACAGTACTTATGTTCTGTACAAACAATGAATTGGACTGCTGCTCCTAGAAAAAATAAATGGTCAGGTTCCTTTGAGCCCCTGGTGACAGCATTTTCATCAACTGAACATCTATACAACCCTGTTTTATGTGTGCTTGTGTTTAAAGACACCTCATGTAACATATAATGTTGTTTTATTTACATTAAACTCATGGCCAACAGCACTATAACTCCTGCCTGAATAAAACTTATCTAACACATGTATTTTCTCCATAAAACACACCACAGCCTTCTTGCACACAGAAACACTAGACAGACAGCACTTTGGCACTACACTTAGGGCCATTTTAGAAGGTGAAATCACCAACAGAAATGCACAAAAATGTGAAAATGTTGCGTCACCTAGACTGTGGAAAGGACACGTGTTTACAGCATGTGAGCTGAAACCAGAAAGCAGAGCATCGCCTTGTTTGACCTCAGCTGGGAGCATGTATATCAGGTGAATAAAATTTTTCACAGCTCTGTGCATGTCTTCAAATAACCATGAAAGTGCCGCAAGTATTGATTTTGGAGTTATAAATAAATTGTAGTGAGCAGACAAATCTGCAAATATGAAATCTGTGAATAACAAGTGTTAAAGATGAAATATTTGTGCCCTGAATTGATAGGTAGGTCCCCTATCCCACAGTGTGGATGTATTTGGAGATGGGGCGTGTAAGGAAGTAACTAATGTTAAATAAAGTCCTAAGTGTGGGGTCCTGATCAGACACGACTAATTTCCTTATAAGGAAGAGACACTGGAGAGTTTTCTCTTTCTGCACCTCATGCTCTGAAGAAAGGACATATAAGGACACAGTGAGAAGGTGGCCATCTGTAAGACAAGAAAAGAGCCCTCACCTAAAGCCAGATTAGCCAGAACCTTGATCTTGGACTTCCCAGCCTCCAGAATTTTGAAAAAATACATTTCTGTTGTTTAAGCCACACAGTCTAGTATTTTGTTATGGTGGCCCAAAGCAGATGAAAACAGTAAGTACTGGTTGTACTATTGTAATTCCACTTTAAGAATAAGGAAACTTGGGCAAAGGGATGATACGTAACTAACACCTGACTTTCCTATCTACTGCTTAACGGACCTGGTTTCAAACCCATGCAGTCTGATTCCAGATGATATATTTTAAGTGCCAGAACACTATGCTAGACTACCTCCTTGAACTAGACCATGTGATGAGGCTGCCCTTCCCTTTTGCTCTAAATTGGTCTGTGAAATCATCAGGTTGAGCTCTGAAGCACACCTCTTCCTTTCCTGACAAAGCAGATTCTCTTTGTATCTCTCCAACTCCTCGATAGCTCAAGATATAAAAAGAGAACACCAACATGACACATTCTTTTTTAAAGCTGAACACCGCTTCCCCCAGCTGCCAACCAGCAGAGAGTCAATCTTCTCCTGGAAATTTCCTCCCGTTGACCATGTTGTATCCATTAACTAGGGAGAAAGTTTTCCCAGTACACTGTCCATATTACTGCATTGTCATAATTGAAACCATTAGGTTACATTCTTTCCATATGTGAGAGTGTAGCCAATGTGCCTCACTTGGTGATACTTCAGTTCCTTGGTTCTTAATGTGTTTTGGGTAATGGACCACTCTAATAATCTGAGGAAAGTTATGGACATATTGCCCCAGAAAAAAAAATGCACATGCAAAGTGATATAGGAGCTTTTGCATAAATTTCAGGGACTCAAAAACCAACAGAAGCCCACTCTCCCTTCCAAAAGCCCTTTCTCTAGTAATACTATTTCATTTACACAGAAAGGATAACAGCCTCTGTCTACAATCTATATAGTGATGACAACAGCAAATGGAAAATCTACGTTGGAAGACTTGGCATTTATGTGAAGCTGTGTTTCTGGCTACTGCAGAACCTCTTGTTACATTGTATCATGCTTATCTTCATGCTTAGCTTCATCAAGATGAAGCATTTCAATACTTCATCTTTATTCCCACAGTCCGTTAGCTGTTTCCAAGCCCTTCTCACTAAGAAACAGGGGCAAAGCACAACATGTACGTGAAAAGAAAGAAATGCTCTGCTTCCCTTTAGAGGGGCATTGGTTTCTGAACCTTGGGAAATGGGTGATGTTACCACACAGCCAGCCAAAGTTTCCAATGGCAACTGAAAGCAGAATAGCAAGAAACCAGTTCAACAGCTGACACCAAAATGCTTTTCCATATGTAAAGCCGTCTTAAACCCACAAGAGACACTGAGAATAAACTTTGTGCTTTCTTTTCTTTTTTGCTTAATACCAAATGGGTCAGGGAGAAGCGCTGGACGCTTTTAAAAATGTACTTATAATTTTGAATCCAAGCTGTGCAAGTACCCATTGGAGACAACTGTTCTCTCATGGCCTGCTTTGAATAAACAATCACAGCTCTGTGTGATATTACTTCTTAACCAGATTCTAGCATTGAGCTGTTGGCTCGCCATGGTTACTTGCATTCTAAACCAGTGGCTCCTTTTCCTTCCCCTTGGCTAAGATTTCTGCCTACTTGGCAGTGGCTCCCTCTCATTTGAACTTTTGCCCTCTTTTAATCTCCACCAAATTTTAGTCTAAAAGAACCTTTCACGGGCACCTTTTGTTACTCTGAGTTTCTTTCTCGTGTGAGAACCAGCTTAGGGAGCTGCTTACTGGAAAACACTCAAGGGCCTGTCTTCCTCCTCTGTGAAGCCAGCAGTGACAGGCTGTTTTGTGTATGTACTTTTCTCCCCCACTTTTTTTTTTTTTATTAAGGAAGCACAAGATGCAAGCTGTTTGCTGAAAACAAAATGTTTGCTTTCAAAAGCAAGGGAACACACACATATTTGCATATGTCCGTGTGGCTCCACTATTGTCTGACTCCAGGGCCACTCCTCTTTATTTCTCCAGCATATAGCTCTTTCAAAACTTATTTCAGATCAAAAGCCAAGCTAATGAAAAGTTTTAGTTCTTCCTAACTTCCCACACCAGTCACAATTCAGCAAGGCCTTCCAGGACCTCAACATCCATGGAGCCCAGTCCTCTTTCCAAAGAATAAACAACATTTCAACCCCTCCTCCCATTTGATGGTTAGACAATCTGCTTCCTATATAAATGGAGTCTGCCATTTTATTCAGAACCCCCGGCTTCATCCTGTTCATTCTCTGGATTCTCTCCTCAGCCTGGACTCATAGCCACTCAGCTTTGTGCTATTGTCCTCTCCTCACCCTAACTGTGCCTAACCACTAAGCTATATCAGTTCCTTTCCCAAAAGCAAATCCACTGTCTCTCTCTCTGCTTATTTTCCTGAGCCTCACAGCATGGGGATCTGTTCACCAGACAGCTGGAGTGTTGACTCCAGCTGGAACCCACCCTGATGCCTGGTAATTCAGTTCTGCAAATTCTCCTTTGCAAAATATTCTAGACCTCTCCTTTCTCTCTGCCACTCTCAATAATCTTCTTGCCTCTTGACTCAGAAGATAGGGGTTTACTGGCTCAAGCTACTAGTTTTTCCCACACTCACTCTTTTTTCACACCCTGGTAAATACTCAGAAGTTGCCATCCAGTCTTGGAGGGGAAGTGAAATTCCTCTTTCCCAAAGCCAATCCTATCTTTGTGAGCTCAGGCCTTCCAGATGCAAAGGGACTATGCTTTATATTTTCTTCACAGTCACAGCCATTTATTCCCAACCAACTCCTACTCTTCTGCCTTCAAACATACTTAAATGTTTGAAAAACAAAAACAAAACACTTCCGAGCAAGCTTTCTTGTTCCATATGCCCTTCTCACTACCATCCAACTTCTTCCCATCCTTATAACTCCACACTTGAATTGCCTGCATCTGTCACTTTTATTTCTTCATCTCACCTCGTCTACTCTCTTATCTCTCTTTTCTCACTTTCAGCTTCACCACCATTCTAAGAATTTTCTTATGAAGGCCATCAATAAAAATAAGGATGTTTCCTTCACCTTCAGTGTCTTTGTCTTCCATGCTGCAAATGGTCTACTTTTCATACAACTCTTGTTTTCTGTTCATCACATTCTCCTGATTTCCTTCTCCTTTTACGCCTACTGCTCCTTCAGCAGTTCCTCTCCCCAAGGCTCTGACCTTAACTCAGTTAAGTTTATCAAACATTTCTTGGACATTGACTCCAACAAAATGTGGAGTAACACTTTTTTTATTATCTGGAGATTTTAGCTCAAGCTTCAATTCTTTTCAAGTACACGTTGTGCTTTGCCCCTGTTTCTTAATGAGAAGGGCTTGCAAATAATCCTGAGGAGAATAGGAAATAGGCAGGGCTCTCAGGTACTTGGTTGCTAAAACATAGAAATACTTCTAGAGAACTGATAAGTAGCCACTTCCCTGAGCCCCACCATTCTACTGCCTTAGCCTCTTACCTGGAACCCCTTGATTTCCTAATGGCTCAGAAACTAAAAGATTAAATTCTAGATCATCAAGGCCTTTACAGAATACTGTTTCAACATTATGGTCTGAATCCATCTAATGACCTGCCATAGGAGCCATTAAACACACTCGCCATTAAACACATTGAGGACCACCACTGTCAATAAGTGCTTCTGTGTTCTAAAGAGCAGCCAGCAATCCTTCAAGTGTTTACTAAGGGGTGATCCAACTGGAACTTACTTCTCCCACTTACCTTTTCTATCTATCCAATGTAAGCAATGGACAGGAGTTCCTGAAAAGAGACGTAAGTTGGAAAGAATTATCTGCCTAGGGACAAGAGCTGTTACTAGGGGGAAATGCACATGAAGAAAAGGAAAGAGGGCTCTCCCCACCTAACCAAGTAAGGGGAGCTCTGAAAGAGACCTTTGTAGAGATTGTGGATGTCTGCAAAAGAAGAGACACCATATTGTCCTCTCCAATTGGATACTTTCAACTCGCAGACAGTTTTAGGTTTAGTCAGTACATCAGAGTTTGATGAGGGAGGCCTTGGGAGCACTTGACATTTAGGAGGAATTTATTTGTGTCCCCTGAAGTTTGACAGTGTACATAAAAATAGATACTGGTGTCTGCTGCCAAAGTGGAAAAAATCAGAAGATAAAAGGCTGGCTGGAGCTGTCTTCCATGGCAAGACAAGGAAGGGAGAGTGGAGCCTGGGGGCAGCAGACTACCCAGAGTCTGGCATGGAAATGAGGCATGAGTTTCCTTTAGTCCAAGTGAGCTTAGGCTGTCTCTATGGGATCCTACTTTAAAAAGTGCTGGGGGTGAGTGGATGCTAACAGGATGGATCCCTGTGGACAAAGACTGAAAGGATGTCACTCCAGGTCAGCTGGAAAGCACATTACCCATGTCATCAAATAATAACCTGGAACAATCTCAGTGAACAATGTTTAGAGATATTGGCTGAAGAACTCAAAAGGAAAATAAAGGGAGAAAAAAGAAAAGTTATCCATGACAGAGCAGTATTTAGAAGCCTGCTCTAATGGAGAACACACTAGGCATTTACTATCAGCCAAGAAAGAACTACAAAAAACAGCAGCTAAATAAAGGCTTGAAAGGCTAAGAAGGAAATCTGAAAGTTGAGAACATGGCCCCTCCCCTACTACAGGCCCAGAGCCATGGGTCTGGCTTGAGCTGTGAGAAGAAAGATATTCAAATCAAATCAGAAGTGAGACTGGAATTTTGGCTTAACCTTATCCAGAAATTTTACTTCCTGAAAGTGTTATATGTATCTAAACATTCTTATAATTGAACATTTCTAGGAAACTGTGGAATCGTCTCAGGAAATCAGATGAAGGAAAGAAAGATATGACCAGTCAGGTCAGAAAACAGGGATTAGAGAAAAATAAAGACATTTAATGTGTATATCCCTGCTCAATAACTAGTTATACATGTTTACAAATACCTAGTTTACTGATACACTTTTATTGTTAACTGCTGCTTTTTTGTTTATGTCTCTTCCAGTTGCAAGTGATGAAATCCTAACTCAAATAGGCTTAAGCAAAAGAGCTCACATAACAAAGATGTCTACAGGTATTTTAGATTCAGGAATAATCCAGGACCTCAAAATAATGTTATCAAGGCCCTGGCTTTCTTGTTATTTGAAATCCATTTGTCTCTGCTTGGCTTAATTTTGCATGCATATTCTTTCTCAGTTGTAGGCATGATGGATCATACCATGCCAGCTTAATAAATCTTGCACACATAAAAAAAGTGGGGTACCATAGCAGTAAATTTCCATTGAGTTCTCTAACTGACCTGTCTTGGATTCTGTCTTAACTCTAGAGCCTGTGGTATTCTAATTGGTGAAATGTACATCATATGCCCATTCCTGTGGTCAGAAAATTAGGGTCAGCCTCACATAAACCATGAGAAATGAGTTCCCCCAAAATAGGGGTTCTATTAAGAAGAGGGAATATTGAACAACCCAAAGATATTAAAACAAAGATAACAGAAATCCATTAGAATATCCTCATTTGTAGCTTCTTCCCGGTTATCACTCACTGTCTATTTCTCCTTTCAGTTCTGTCAGGTTATGCTTCATGTATTTTGGGGCCCTCTTATTAGGTGCACATGATTTTATTATCATAAAATGTCCTTTTTCTCTAGCAACAAATTTTGTTCTAAAGTCCATTTTGTCTGATATTAGCATAGCTAAAAAATGAGGTGAACAAGAAAGAAAACTAGATGATGGATTATATTTGGAGAGTGTTATTGAACAAATGAATATGATTTTGAGATTTGCGGTTTGGTTGTCAGGGTATGGCTATTCACTGAGATTGGGAAAGAGAAGGAACAATAGATGTGAACATTAAAGAGATGAGTTTTTTTGTAAAAAAATATTATTAGTTTCAAGATCTGTGAGAGAACCAAAAAGTCCTTGGTGGCTTCTTCAGAACTGTATTATTATCTGATTATTTTTATGTAATCCTATTTTGAAATTTCAAGCTTTATGTGGTCAAGACAATAGTCTACTTGCAATTTTCTCATGCTTTGTGCAGAGTTTAGCTCAGATTAGATGAAATGCTTTTAAATGGAAGGACTGATTTAGAAAACTTGATGTTGGGCAGGGCATGGTGGCTCATGTCTGTAATCCCAGCACTTTGGGAAGCCAAGGCGGGTGAATCATTTGAGGTCAGGAGTCCGAGACCAGCCTGGCCAACATGGTGAAACCCTGTCTCTACAAAAATTACCAAAATTAGCCAGGCGTGGTGGTGGGTGCCTATAATCCCAGCTACTTGGGAGGCTGAGGCAAGAGAATCAATTGAAACCAGGAGGCAGAGGTTTCAGTGAGCCAAGATCATGCCACTGCATTCCAGCCTGGGCAACAGACTGAGTAAGACTCTGTCTCAAAAAAAAAAAAAAAGAAAAAAGAAAAAAGAAAAAGAAAGAAAACTTGATGTCCTTATGAGTGTCTAGCCAGTGTGTACAAGATTTAGTTCCCTTAGCCTAATGGGTTGCTTTTTCTTTTGAATCATGGGTCATTGAACACTCTGCTTTCTTTCCTTAGAATGCCCTTCTCTTCTTTCCATATAATTCACTTGGCTAAGCCTACTTGTCTTTCAGTCCTCAGCTATCTCCTTCTACAGAAAGCCTTTTCTCATGACTTAAGATTTTCTGTGCAATTTCTTCCATTTACCCCAATGCAGTCCTTTTTGCACTGCATTGTTTAACAACCTATTCCATGAAGATATATATTGCTTCCAGTTTATTATCTTAGTTGATAGCATAATACATGGAAATTCAAAAAATTCTTTTTGAATTAACTATTAAACAGACATATTTAGCTATAAGGAAAGAACTATCTTTCTAATTGCTTATTTTACACTCCTATACCAGAATATCCGGGCACTGAATGTATTGACTTTTGGTCAAAACTTCGGAAAAGAAAACAGTTTCAGATAAAGAGGAATGGATATCTCCAAAGTAGATGTCCAGAGAAATATAAAAAGAATTTATTTATGGAACCTACATCAACTAAATCCTTTTCTGGAATTGAAATGCCATTCACCTCTCAAAGATGCCCAGGAATATGAACTAAGTTGGTTTTGATATGATTGGCTGATGGATGATGCCATTATCTGAGTTTGGTATCTTTGGGGCGCAGTTATCAATTACACAGCATATTTCATCAAAGCTAAGATAGCGTTCATTGTAAAATGCACCATTATTTTATGTACCTTCAAAATAGTAAAGGAAAACCCGATAAATAACAATTCTGTGACAGTAACTAAGAAATATTGATTGTAAGACACACTTCAATTTTAGAGACACTAAAATGTGAAAAAGATGTGTGTCTTGAACACAATTAAATATGTTAGATAACACATGAATTATAGAATGTGGAAGGACCTAAGACTTAATCTACTCTAGTCTTCACCAACTTATAAATAAACTAAGAACTAAAGATTTGTAAGTATACAGTAACACAAAAATTGGGGAAATCAATCAACCTTAAAAACCAGATGGGCTGGTTTGTTCCAGTGTCAACATTTTATAATTCTGTTCTAATATTAATACTAAAAAGAGACCTAGGAGAATATATGTCATCATCAAATGACAAATGTCTCCTTCCTATGTTAGAGATAGCTAATTTACCTCAACAAATATGTTACTTTAATTTTCTATACTCACATGCCTGAATCATAGCATCTCTTCCCAGTGAGTCAAGGGTTTGCCTAGAAAGAAAGACTTGAATCCAGGGTTTGATAGTCAGGCAAATACCCAATGAGATGTATACCCGATGGTACATGTAACTATTTTCCTGCCATTTAATAATATCTCATTTAGGCCAAGTGCGGTGGCTCATACCTGTAATCCCAGCACTTTGGGAGGCCGAGACAGGTGGATCACAAGGTCAGGGGTTTGAGACCAGCCCGACCAACATGGTGAAACCCTGCCTCTACTAAAAATACAAAAATTAGCTGGGCGTGGCAGTGTACGCCTGTAATCCCAGCTACTCAGGAGGCTGAGGCAGGGGAATCTCATGAATCCGGGAGGCGGAGGTTGCAGTGAGCTGAGATCACGCCATTGCATTCCAGCCTGGGCAACAGAGTGAGACTCTGTCTTAAAAAAAAAAAAAAAAAAAAAAAAAATCTCTCATTTAATCAAAGACCATTTCCATGGCATGAGATATTCAATAGTTCATTAGAAGAACAAATCAAACTTGCTATAATTATGAATTTTGAATTCACGATTTCTAATGGCAACTTTAGACTTAGCTTTCTTCAGTCAATTTTAGTTTCCTTGGCACATAATGCTCCAGGTTTTGTTTTAAAAAGCCACTTACTCCCTTTCTCTTTCCTTCATTTCCCCCTTCCCTTAACACCACAATTGAAAAACTCTCCCTCAATTCCACCTCCTCTCGAATTCCCCTACCTCTAGAACCTCAGGCCCTCCTTTCATTACTTTGCTAATAACAAAAGCATCTTCATTTTCTCTGGAACTCATGCAGAAGAAACATTTTAAGCTCAACTAAATAATTATCCACCTACTTTATATTTCCTAAAAGAAATCCTGATTGACTGAAAAATCACCAGGCTGTTGTCACCAGAATCCTTAATGTGAAACCTTCCTTACAATCTTTCTTCAACTTTCTGTTTTTGATGCGGGAAGCAGCAAAATTAAGGGAATTTGTGAATTTTATGAGAAAATGCCACCAGATAAATGAAGGTACATTTAATTGAACAAGTCATCAGAAATGCATTCAGTATATGAGTGACATGACAAAGGAAACCACAGAGTGTAAGAGGTGCATGGTTGTCTTTCAGTTTGTCACCAACCCTTAGAGTGGGCTGCAAGGTACGCTCAAGGGAATGCGCTCAAGGTCAAGATCACAGCACAGGCAACAGTTGAGAGCGTGGTGGGGGACAGGTGGAGGTGGGAGCAGCTTAAGAATGACTCACCCAGGCAAGTGAAGACAAAGCCTTTCTCAGCAGACCTAAATCCCAGTTGCTTCCTCACCTTCATTTTGCAAAAAATACCCTTTGCTTAGAAAGGATAAGAAGAAACCATGATTCCACTGAAGAAGTTCTCTG
The DNA here is from genome assembly GCF_000001405.40 of Homo sapiens. Classification (NCBI taxonomy): domain Eukaryota; kingdom Metazoa; phylum Chordata; class Mammalia; order Primates; family Hominidae; genus Homo; species Homo sapiens. The sequence goes on along the minus strand of NC_000006.12, from coordinate 19,028,214 downwards.
ACAAAACAACCTCCAGATTGTCAATGGATTCTTCCTGCTTGTGAATACATAATATACAAATATTTATACATACATGTGCATGCATACAAAACCAGTATTTTAAATGAGTATAAAGTCCTTTCTGAAAGCAGGGCTGGCCCCTGAGCAAAATAGTAATTTAGCAAAGTTTGACTTGCTGTCTTCTCACTTCTTTTAATGCTACCTTTTTGCCCCTTATCTTACTCAAGAGTCTCATTCCTGTTGTCTCTGACAGCTTTAAGTGCCTCCCTGTTAATGTGCTAACTAATAACTAAGTGTTTTAGCCTATTCAAGTTATAACAAAACATCTTAAACTGGGTAATTTATAAGCGACAGAAATGTATTTCTCATAGTTCTAGAAGCTGGAAGTACAAGATGAAAATGCTAGCAGTTTTGGTGTCTGGTGAGGGCTCTCTGCTTTAATGATGGAGCCTTGGCCAGGTGTGGTGGCTCATGCTTGTGATCCCAGCACTTTGGGAGGCTAAGGCAGGAGGATTACTTGAGGCCAGGAGTTCGAGACCAGCCTGGGCAATATATCAAGATCCTATCTCTACAAAAAATAAAATGTAAAAAAATATATAGCCAGACATAATAGAACATGCCTGTAGCCCTAGCTCCTCAGGAGGCTGAGACAGGAGGATCCCTTGAGCCCAGGAGTTCAAGGCTGCAATGAGCTATGATAGCACCACTGCACTCCAGCCTGGGCAACAGAGTGAGACCTTGTTTCTAAATAAAGATAGTGCCTTGGTGCTACATGTTCACATGGCAGAAGGAGCAGGGGCACTCCCTTCAACGTTTTTCCTAAGGGCATTAATCCCATTCATGAGGGCAAAGCAGTCGTAACCTAATCACTCTCCAAAAGGTTCTACCTCTTAATGCTATAACATTGGGTATTAGGTTTCAATATATGAGGTTTATGGGGGACAGTATCATTCACACCACAGCAGCAAGTATTTGAAAAGTGCTGCTATATCTGAGGCCTTTTTAGAGAAAACGAGAGGGTCTTCAAGGCTGTGAGTAAGAAATGTGGACTTGATAACTGGCAATTTGGAAATAATTTTATTCTTTCTTGACCACCTCAGCAGCTTGATAGCTAGGAGGGGTCTATTTGATATATCTTTTTTTTTTTTTTTTTTTTTTTTTACTGGTAATGGACATTATCTATAGATATTTTAAAAATTGTGGGAGCTGGAAAAGATTTTGACAGTCATCTCAAACCATGTCTACATTTTATACATTTGGTAACTGAGATGTAGAGAGGCAAGAGAGTTATTGCCAGAGGCCATCCTCATTCCCATCATATTTCCAGGTCAGTAGTTTCCAGAAATTCTGCCTTGGGAAAACTGACACTGATTAGAGGTTTGAATTTTTGGCACTTAGCAAGCTAAATAATTTAGCATGTGTTATCTGAGAAGGCTGAAGATATAGGTCTAATTTGTGGACCCTCATGTTGAAGGGACATCTAAACCAGTTTGTTTTTGTCCATCAGTAGGTCAATGGTTGCTTAAAAGAAGGGTTTCAACTTCATCATATGGTGCCACAAGCCCTGGATAACATATATCAAATGCCCATGTATTGAAAAGAAGCTGTCTGCTCCATTCCTCTAGATGAGAAGGCCTTGGGAAAATCTTTTTGGCTATCTGCTTTTAGCACTATGGCTGACTAGGTGCTCTGAAAACCTCCTGTTACTATCTATTACATAGGACAAAGTCTTCAAAGCATTGTTTGCCTTTAAATTGGTGGAGATTTTCAAACCTTCTCCCCAAATTCCTGCCATATGAACTGCAGTGAAGAACTGGGATCAGAACAATCAGGGGTCAGGAGGAACAGGGTGACCTAAGGGTAGATCAGGAGAGTAGCAATGCTGTTGGTTACTAAGTCTTGAGCAAATATTAGAGAATCTGAGTCTAGAATTCTTGAACTGACCCAAGATAAACAGAAGTTTATTAATGACAGAAGCCATAGTCAGAAAGCATACCCAGACTGAAAGAAAGCCTTCTCAATTTTTGAGCTGCAGGATTTCCACCAAAGAGATCAAGTAATGTGCTCACAATCAAAGATCATTAGCAAAGTAGAAAGGAAGCTGTATTAGTTATCTATTGCAGAATAGCAAATTACTCTAAAACTTAAAGTTTTATGAAATGACTATAAATATTCATTATCCCTGCCATTTTCTGAGGGTCAGAATAGGAGAACCTAGAATTTGGGGAGTGGGTCAATGTTTTTCATAAGGGCACTGATCCCATTCATGAGGGCAAAGCACTCATAACCTAATCACTTTCCAAAAGGTTCTACCTCTTAATGCTATAACATTGGGTATTAGGTTTAAATGAGGGTTTCTCATAAACTTACGGTCATTTGAAGGCTTCATGAGTGCTGGAGGATCCAATTCCAAAAGTACCCACTCACCTGCGCTGTATTGGTGTTGGTTATTGATTGGCGACCTCAGTGCCTCTCTGTGTGGGCCTCCCATTAGGCCAGCTGAGTGTACTCCTGACATGGCAGCTGGTTTCCATCACAGTAATTGATCCAAGAGAGAGTAAGTCAGGAAGGAGCTATTCTTTTCATGTCCTAACCAGAAATGAAAATAGGGGCAAATTCCTTTGTAATCTTGGGGTAAAAAAGGTTAACCATAAAAAAAAATCCTATCATATTTTAATATTTAAATTAAGATTGTAGTATTTAACTTAAATTTTTATATTTTAATTAAAATTAAAAATTGTGTTCAGCAAATACACCATCAGAGAATAAGAAAAATAAATGGCAAACAAAGGGAGATATTTACAAGTCACTTAACAACAAAGGATTAATATATTCCAGAATACATACATAATTTCTACAAATCAATAACAGACAACCCAACGGAAAAACAGGCAAAAGCCAAAACACTGTTAAGAGAAAGAAGCATGGCCAAAACAGATATAATGAGGTGCTCAACCTAGCTAATAATCAAGGAAATACAAGTTATGACCATAATAAGATACAGTTTTACACCTATTTAATTATCTCAGATTAGAAGATCTGACAATACCCAGTATCAGAGAAGAAGTGAATCAATGGGAAAGCCAGTAGGCACTAAGTGGTTACAATCACTTTGGAAAACAACTGGGCTTTCTCTTGTGAAAGTGAATACTTACATGTTGTCTCTACCCAGCAGCTGTATTTCTAGGTAAGTGATTTTGACCCCTGGAATACCTTTGGCAACGTCTGGAGACATTTTTGGTTGTCACAACTTGGAGACACTACTGACATCTAGTGGGTAGAGGCCAGGGATGCTGTTAAACCTGTTACGATGCATAGGACGGTTTCCCACAACAAAGAGCTATCCGGCTCCACACATCAGTACTGCTGAGGTTGAGAAACTCTGTCCTAGGTATATGTGTCAGTGACACTTGCATAGATGTGCAATAGGAGATGTAGAAGAGTATACTCATGACAGCAACAGCTAACTGGAAGCCATAATTCTCCTTTAACAGGAGAATAGATAAATCAGTTGTGACATAGCTATTCCATGGAACACGCGATTGAACGATAGCTACAGACAACCATGATGCAAAGTGAAAAACAATAAATTTCATAAGAAGATATCCCATGTAATAAGTTTAATGAACTGCTCAAAAAGAAGCACAACTGAAAAAATCTGTTATTTAGGCCTACCAACAAGCAAATGACAAGAGTATAAAAGTAGAGTAAGCAATAATTACACAAAATTCAAAGTACTGGTTACTGTTTGTGCAAAATGAGGGGAATATTTCAGCATGGAAGCAGGGGATAAATACAGGGAAGCATTGCAACCATGTTCGAATATTTCGATTGGATGATAGGTTCACAGTTGCTCATTACACTATCACACTTTATAACTTACATCAGCAGTTCCCAACTTTTTGGCACCAGGGGCAGGTTTCATGGAAGACAATTTTTCCACAGAACAGGGATATTAGGGACAATTTGGGGATGCAAGGGTATTATTAATACATTTATTGTACACTTTATTTCTATTACAACACTTAATGAAATAATTATACAACTCACCATAATGTAAAATCAGTGGGAGCCCTGAGCTTGTTTTTTTCTGTTTGTTTTTGTTTTTTGCAACTAGACAGTCCCATCTGAGGGTGATGGGAGACAGTGACAGATCATCAGGCATTAGATTCTCATAAAGAGCAGGCAACCTAGATCCCTTGAATGTGCAGTTCACAGTAGGGTTCACGCACCTATGAGAATCTAATGCCACTGCTGATCTGACAGGAGGCGGAGCTCAGGTGTTAATTCAATCAATGGGAAGTGGCTGTAAATACAGATGAAGCTCTGCTCACCCACTGCTCACCTCCTGCTATGTCAGTTTCTAACAGCAACCAGTACCAGTACCAGTACCCATCCATGGCCTGGGAGTCGAGGACCCCTGACTTACATATACATATATATACATACATACAAACATACATATGTCACATATATTCTTTTGTACTATTGTATTAAAATTAAGTAAACAAAAATCATTAATCAGGCAGATGTGGAGAGGTAGATTGTACAATATAACCACACAAGGAACTACCTGAAATTACAGCAACCAACTTGCTTTTGTCCTTTTGGAGAGGAGATGCTGCTCTTTTTATGTTAGGACTAGGCTCAAAATCCTAATCCTAACATGAATGTATCTCATGAGTGTAATTTATCTCATGAGGTCTGTCCCAGTAGCTCACTAGAGTAGCAACCATCACATCAATATTGTTGACTTAAGCACCCCTTACCTTTAAGTTATGTTGGCAATAAACACAAAGAACACAAAGCAAATAAAGGATAGCATGGGGATTGTTAAGACATTTCTCTCTCTGTCTCTGTCTCTCTCTTTCTATACACTGTAGTCATACACTGGTAGGGGCATAATACCATATGTAACAACAGGGAGTAGGTGGATGATCTGCTGGATTTGTTTGTTTCTTCAAGAAGACCCTGATTCTCCTTAAAAGCCAAATTTTCACAATCACGTGCCTTTAAACCACAGGTTGGAAAACTGAGACAGCCCAAGTGATTTGGAGTGCCTGGGCCACCTACCAGTTTTAAACAAAATTGTAAAGATTTCCTGTCTTTTTCTTTCTTTCTTCTTATTCTAACCAGGCTTTCCAAGTGCCAGCCTACCTCTATTTCTGTTCTCAGACGACTTTCAAATAATCCCTGCTAGAGTGTTAATTGAAAAGCAAGGTATTAACTGATTATAGCTTAGTATGATCCCTCCTAGGGTGATTTTATTTTCATAGGGGACTCATAAAGGTTGGTGTGAGTAACAGGGAGTGAAGGCTCAGAGATGACCTTCAGGAGGCTATAGCTAACTCCAACACCTGACGGAGCAAATAAAAAATATTTGTTATGCAGCCTCTGAAAGGTTGGCAAAACCTTGCTTCAGGCCCTGTTTAAACACCCAGTCTCTGTCTACTACTTTTGGAACTGAACTGCAATAAAACCTCTTATTTTCCTGACCCAAGAGGAAATATTTTATAAATTATAGCGTAGAGAATTATTTGGCCAATATTTAGACCGGAAATACCCTGAAGAGTGAGAAAGGTAAGGAAAAGAACAGATTTGGAGAAAGCACAAAGGCCAAAGTCAATCAACAAAATGCTTAATAGTGTAAAGAGAAAAAACTTTTCAAGTGTCCAAGCATAAATGTCAAGAGTATTTCAATAAAACCCAAAAGGCTCGAAGTTGAAGCAGGTATGAGAAAAGGGGAATAGAGAAGATCCCCGAGGAGAATACAAGCATGTGGGGTGTGTATCTCCATTTACACAATAATTGTTCCATCACCTTCCTGTTTCACCGTACTTAATATTAGCAACTGCTTCGCCTGATAAGAAATGGTATCAGCCCTTTATAAAAGAGGTATCCCTGAGTCAGGATGTTTAAGCCAGCAAAAACTGGTCACAGCTGAATCCAAATCCAAATGTTCAATAGCTGTTCTTAAACTTTACTGTGCATAACTCACCTAACAATGTTCATGTAACATGAAGATTCCAGAATCACAGCTGAGGTGATTCCAATGCAGCAGTTCTGGGGCATGGCCCAGGAGTTTACAGTTTAGGAGCATGCCAGTTGATTCTAATGTAGGCAGTGGGCCACTGTGAAACAGGTTTCAGAAAGCCTAACCCAGGGTTTGTATTCAGTGCTTGCACCCCTCCTTCCATCTCTCAAACTGCCATTTGCTCCAGCAACATTCCTGGACAAACCAGCTTTGGGGAAGTTGAGACTGAGAGCTCCTCTCCTCATTGGCACCATGCATCTCTCACCTTCTGTTCCGAGTGCGTCACCTCCCATGCGGGCTGCTGCGTGCGACGCCTGCAGGAACCTACTCTGTGCTCACACAGGGGCAAAACTGGAAATGTGAGGAGGGCTAAAACTCCCAGGGGGATTGCTTGACCAATGGAGGCAGGAGCCAGTAGGTAAACATTCCCAAGTTGCCATTCCTCAGGACAATTTTCTGAAACTTATTCTGTATAATTCCCCCAGAGGGTCCTAGCAGGAATGAATTCCAGTTGCCCACAGGGATGGCCAGCTATATAACTCTTCTTCTCTTCCCAGTCCAAAAGTAAACCACTTATCCAAAAGTAAACTACTACATGGGAGCTCTTGCTGCAAACTCTGCCATCTGAGAAGAACACAGGCTCAGGGAAGGTTCACCTGAGAGACTGGCTCTGGAAACCAAGAAGGAGAGGGTGAAGGGGAGGGACAAAGAGCCCTTGGTATATTCTTCTCATGCAGCCTCACTCAGAGTAGCCCCATTTTGTCTGTTTTTTGCATTACACTTCTCCGTTTTAGTTTCCTTAAAAATAAAATTATGGAGATAAAAGGCATTTGAAAATAATCAGTCTAAGAAAAAGGCTCAAATCTTGGCAGCAAGAGCCCAAGATTTACCACTAGTACAACCTGAAATCAAGTACATAATATCCCCAGCATTCGTTTTCTTGTCTACATGACAGGGTTGTTGAGACAGTAACACACGATTATTATTAACTGATAATATAAAACTAATAGGAGTATGCCATGTGGCCCAGACCCAATCTCTCACTCCATGCAGTTGTCGTCAGGCTCGTTTGATTCCGTGATTTTGTTCACACTAATAAGCCACTGGACACAAGTCACACATATCCTAAAGTGGTTAGTTAGAAATCTTACGATGTTTGTGCAAAATTTGGCTTCATCTGTTGATGCTGCATCGATATGAGTTTGCTGTTAATACAAGTTTCAAGAAAGGAAAGGAAAGGAAATGGAAGGGAAAAGGAAGGAAAGGGAAGAAAAATTCTCACTAAACACGAAGCAAAATTATATGACTTCTACATCCTGTCTAGGATACAGGTGCCCATTTGGTCCACTCTTATTCTCTCTTTTCCTCCACAGTTTCTTTCCTGGGTTACCTGGTAGTCTGCTGCCATCCATGTACTTTCCTCACATTGACACTAGGCATTTTCCTGGATTCTTCCACAGGTTCTTCTGACGTGGAAGTGCAATATAAACATAAAAGCTTTGTTTGTTATAGCAGAAACTATGGATCCACAGACTTTTCCATTTGTTCCCAAATTTTGCTCTGTAAGAACAAAATAAAACAGAACCAAAATGAAGCTATTATGGCTCATGTATGATATCCATATATTCAAATAATTTTCATTGAGGTACAAGATGCATAGAAAAAGAGTACATAAATCATAAATGTACAGCTTGAGAAATTTTCACAAAATAAATCCTCTTGTGTAACTAGCACACAGGCCAAGAAGATTACAAGTACCCAATTACCCTCCCTATACCACTCTCAGTCATTACTTACACTCCAAAGAGAGCTGATATACTGACTTCTAATACCATCAATTTACTTTGCTGGTTTCTAAGGTTTGTATACATAGAATCACAATTTATACTCAAATGTATCTCGTTTCTTTAATTCAATATTGTAAGATTCATCCATATCATTACTTATAGTAGTAGTTCATTTTCATTGCTATGTGTAGCATTTACTTGTATAAATATAAGACAATGTATTCATTCTACTGTATTGAACATTTTAATTTTTCTAGATTTTGCCTATTTCAGAGTGCTGTTATGAGGATTCTTGAATGTCTTTTGCTACATCATGCTTACAGTGCTTTGGGGAAGGTACTTAAAGTGGAGTGCCTGGGTACACAGGTTTAACTATGTACTCAAATGCTTTCCAAAGGAATTGGAAATTAACAAGATCATTTAAAATGTATATGTTAATATGTACGGCTACATACACCCAAGACATTCTAGGAAAAAAACAAAACAAAACACCACTACCATCAAAGTGGAAAGACACTACCAAATATGACTTATTATGAAACTACACTAATCAAGACAGTGTGGTACTGTTGCAATAGTCAAATAATGGAATATAACATGGAGTCAAGAACTATCCTTTCTTCCTTCCTTCCTCCCTCTTTTCTGTCTTTTTCTTTCTTTCTTTCATTCTTTCTTTCCTTCTTTCTTTCCCTGTAGATGTCAATGTGTGTGTGTATACATTTGTATATTATATATAGATTTGATTTACAATAAAGATGACATTGTTGACTATTGTGGAAAGAATGGTCTTTTCAATACATGGTATGAGGTCAATATTATATCAATTTTGAAAAGAATAAATCTTAATCCCTGTCTCACACAATATACAAAATCAATTCCATGGTCTATCTGAGGTTTGCACTCTTTACCAGGTGTATACAGTTCATCAGAAAGAAATGAAGTTCCAAGGCTTAATCAGTTTCATATATCCTTTAATAAACTTTATTTTCATTCGTATTAAAATTCAAATTAGAACTCCTGATATTTTCTTTATTGAGACTAGTGGGGGTGCTTAATGGGTATTAAGAAAAATAGATAGAATGAACAATACCTACTATTTGATAGCACAACAGGGAGTCTATAGTCAATAATAACTGTACATTTTAAATAACTTAAAGAGTATAGTGGGATTGTTTGCAATTCAATGGATAAATGCTTGAGGGGATGAATACCCCATTCTTCATGATGTGTTTCTTTCACATTGCATGTCTGTATCAAAACATCTCATGTACCCCATAAATATATACACATATTATGTACCCATAAAAATTAAAAAAAATCCTTATGTATATTGTGGAAAACTGATTTTCTTCTCCCTTTTTCCCTTCTTTCCTTCCTTTTTCCCTTCTTCCTTTACTTTCCACCCTCCCACCATTTGTTTTTTCATTAATCTAACAACATACATCAGACATCAGTGGTTACAAATCAGCAGCCCACATGCCAACTATGACCTGAATAGTTATTTTAAAACACTTTGTGTTAAAAATAAATCCTGTTGCCAATATGATTGTGAGAATTTACATGAGATCAAATTACGGGGCATCTCTTGAAAATTTGGCAGATCTGGCAACCGCAGGCCAACAGTATTCCATAGCAACAGTCTGTTGGATTTTGTGAAACATTTGCCAGCTTAAGACAGGGCAACCCGCTCAGGTTTACCTTAATCCTCACTGGGCCTGTTTCACTCATGTATATTTATTACCTGCCTGACCCCTGTAGGAATTTTTATTCAAGGTTTCTGTTACCATAAATGTTTGAATAGTTAGACATAAAAACATGTTTCCAAAGAAATTATAGATGCATAAGTGTCAATATTGTTTTCTATTTATATACAGTTTTCAGTGTTCTACATATGGCAGCTAAAAAGATTCTTTCTTCTTCTTCTTTAGTTTTGGGCATAAATCCCTTCTTGTTTCCACAGGAACATTAGCTCAAATTTGCAGATACTGTGTGATACAGATAAAATTGTTGCATTTAAAACCATATGTCACACTGAACTGCTCAAGAGGCATCAAGCCTTTCTTACTTGCAGATCTTTAAAGATATAATTTTATGCTCAGTTAAGATGGAAAAGAGCATTAGGTTTGAAGATAAACCTATTTACTGTGGAAGCACTCACTAAATTATTTCACCAAATTACTAGGTAGAGAGACATTAGCAGAGCACGTTAAAAGTGAACTTTTTCAACTTACATATGTCTTCCTCCATGTTAATCAGCTGCCAGAGATTATCGTCTTGATAGTAGCTGGATACATAAGGATATGACAGACCTTGGCCCTATTTTTTTACACATTTGTATTTACTTTTTAAAAGTTGTAATAAGGATCTCAATTCTATAAGTGGCTATGAATCATTTAAAATTGTATGGGAACTCTTGCTCTATTTCAGGCCATCATTATATTATGGTGATCGGCATAAAACTCTATTACCATTTCACAGAGATAAAAAAAATCAACTTGAGTAATACAAAGTAAAGTAGTTCACAACTGTGAAAAGTCCTTCAGGAATAAGATGCATTTCAGTATTACTATTCTTCACTTCCATACATATAACTTGTGCATCCTTTTCAGACACAGAAGCACATAATGGAAGTATATGTCTTGTTTTAAGAAAATATGACCCCTAGGGCCCTGTTCTCTTAAGAAGTATTTAATACATCTCATGCAAATAGAGCGTTTAAATGACAAGCACACTGAATTCAGATCTCAGATATACAAAATTGCTTCATTCAGCTGTCTTATGTGTGTATATAAATGTACACACATATATTTTTCTTCTTCTTCAAGTGAATATTAAAAGCCAAGTATGAAATAAAGAGGATTGGAAGTGATCAGAGAGAATATCAATGAAAAATTTCCTGGCTCACAGGTGACCAGAACCCAGAACCCCGGTACCACTTAGCCAATATAAGTCTTGAAAACAATGACAATAACATTATGATAGTATACACAGAATATTTACACTAGTAGTAAATAAACAGAATGAATAGTCGGTTTGGGGCACGTACACACATATCCAACGTAAGGCCATTTCGTACTTAGGAGAACCTAAAGCTCAAATTGCTCCCATCACCATTCACTGGGACCTTATTTTCAGTTTCCAATTTTACTCAGATCTTCTCACTCCTACCTCCCACCTCTGATCCATTTCCTCCCCTCTACCCTGTCCCATGTGTTGATTTTGAGATCCACGGACCAAAAAGAAAACATGGCCTCTACTGTTCTCCCTCACATCTATATTTGCTTCTTCCATTGTCCCAGGTGTTGATTTTGAGATCCACGGACCAAAAAGAAAACATGGCCTCTACTGTCCTCCCTCACATCTATATTTGCTTCTTCCATTGTCCCAGTGCACTGAATGAGATGGAAAAAGGAAGGTGGTACTGAAGATGTAGAACTGTAGTTAGAAATAAAAAATCATAAGGAAGACAATTTTTATAAGCTTCTCACAGTACATTTTCAGCCACTATTCCTTCCTCTGACATAAACTTGGTTCTGAGCCTGTTCCTCCAAGTTCTCCAGTCCCTAAACATACTAAATGTTCTTTCTCCAGTGAATTCCTTCTCTCTCCAGCAGGACATCCACCTTGAAAATTAATCTTCCATACTCAATGGCCTTATTTCCTTCTCTAACACCCAAAAGGTCCCCATTAGCTACTATTTTTCTTGCTCTAAAAGTTTTCCCAAATCCTTGCTTTGCAATCTTTAGATGCCCAATCAATAGATATGTCACAAGTTTCAAACACAAAAGGTCATATGAAAGTTTCCTCTTATATTGGTCATACACTAATCCCAAATGAAATTCCTAATAAACCAGTTGTCATTCAACTCTTGCTTCCAGGTCATCAGTGTTGTTGAGTAATTTTGTAATAAAGTTTCAGAGTGGGCCTTTACAAGTTTATAAATGTCAGCTTTGTAAGAAAGCCTCTGACTTTACCCCAGTTTTTTCTGTCCTCTCAAGCCCCTTCAATTTTCTTGCTGTCAAACTTTAAATATGAGAGTGGTGTGTGTATGTGTATGTGTGTGTGTGTGTGTAAGATAGACAATAATTTGAATCCAGCCAGTTCTCTTTCCTGTATTCCCCAGATCAATATCTTCTTCCTTTTCAAATTCAACGTTGCCACTCGGGTTGTGCTCTTTATTGCATTTCCATCTCCATGGAGACCACACAAATCCAGTGTTTCTATCTTATACTTAATTCTCTTTGCTAATTTCTATGCTTCAGCTGGGAAATATATTCTGGCCTTTTTTATCCCTAGCAAGTTCTCTTTAAGTTTTCCTTTCTTTAACCATACAACTTTAAAAAAGTATATAATAGATATTAACCATTTCCTTCTTTCCCCTTCTCTTCTCTTCAACCTCCCAATCTTTCTTTCCACATCCATATCCCCAGCAGCACCACTGACTTTTATTAAAGCTCAAGCTTGTGGCACTATCTACTTACTGGATATCTTCAACTGGAGATTCTATAGGCACCTCTAATTTAATATGTCTGAAACCAGATTTATTATTTTCCATTTGCTAAAATAGTCTCTTTCTCTGCTATCTCTCAACCCACTTATAAATATCACTTAGAATGTTTTCTGTTTTTGATTCTTCATGTTCAATAAGGACTGAAAGAATTATAAAGCAGGGGGTTAGTGCTCAGTTGTCCATGTAGCTAACATATCTAGGTAACCACAATGCATCATTCATCAGACATTCAGGAATAACACAAGTATAGACAGTCTATTTTTATTTGGGTGCTTCATTTGTGTTCCTTGTTGTATCATCTTAATCAAGAAAAGGAACTTGTAATAGCTGTGGATTTCCCTTCTAGATGAAACTCATTTGTGTTCACATTTCCATTTCAGAAAAGAGGAAGGCAGCACCAATTTTAATTAAAAATCTCAAGATATAAATTCACCTAGCCAGATGTTATTCTACAGAATGTTCTTTCTTAAGATCATTATTTCCTAATTAACACACTGGGTATATGTTATATTTATCTAAATGGAGCTGGTGTTAAGAATGGGGTAAGACACATTCTTTTTGATAATCAATCTTATACAAGTATGACCCTCCTTCAGTAAACTACACCTATTTTAAGTGTACAGTTCAATGAGTTTTGGCAGCTGTATACATCTGTGTAACCACCTTCATAATAAAGGTATAGAACATTTTCATAAAACCAAAAAGTTTATCTGTGCCCCTTTGCATGAGGGGCCTTCATTCCTCCTTAACCCTAGGGAAAGTATTTACCTACATCTGTCACTTGCATTTTTTGGAATTTCATGTGAATTGAACCATAGCAATCAACTCTTCTGGGTCATTTGCACAGTATGATGTTTTTAGAGACCCACTTGTTGCGTGGATCTTGATTTTTGTTTCTGAGTAGTTTTCTCTCATGTGAATATACTACAATTTGTTTATTGTGATGCACTACTTGTTTCTACTTTGGGGCTGGAAGTTAATAAGTTTCAAGAACATTCATATACTTGTCTTTGTGTGTATACACGGCTCCATTTCTCTTGGGTAAATACCTAGGAATGAAGTGGTAGGGATATATATTAAGATAAGGAGCTTCCAAACTGTTTTCCAAAGTGGTTGAAATTGGCCGGGCATGGTGGCTCACGCCTGTAATCCCAGCACTTTGGGGAGGCCAAGGCAAGTGGATCACAAGATCAGGAGTTCAAGACCGGCCTGACCAACATGGTCTACTCTCATCTCTACTAAAAATACAAAATTAGCCAGGCGTGGTGGTGTGCACCTGTAATCCCAGCTACTCAGGAGGCTGAGGCAGGAGAATCGCTTGAACCTGGGAGGTGGAGGTTGCAGTGAGCCGAGAATGTGCCATTGCACTCCAGCCTGGGTGACAGAGTGAGACTCGGGCTCAAAAAAAAATTATATTCAAATATATATATATATATATATATATATATATATATATATATATATATGGTTGAAACATTTCACATTTCCATCAACAGTGCTACTTCAGTGAAGTTGGTGATTGTGTTTTTCAAGTCTTCAATATCCAACTGACATTTATAACTACTTGTTTTATTAACTACTGAGAAAGAAGTATTAAAATAGCCAGCTATAACAGAGAGTTTGTCTATTGCTAATTTCAGTTTGGTAATATTTTTCTCCTGGTATGTTTTGAGGTTCTGTTATTTGGTGCATACACATTTAAGGGTGTTATACCCTCTTGGTGAATTTACTCCGTGATGAAATGTCCCTTTTTATTTCTGATAATATTCCTTTATCTGATATGTGCTTTGATCAGTATTAGTATGGCCATTCTAATTTTCTCTTGATTTTTATCTGCATGTTATATTAAACGAAATATATTTTTATATTTGGAGTATATTCTTGTAGACAGTGTATAGCTGTGTTTGCTTTTTAACCCAGTCTAACAGCTAATGTTTTTTAATTAGACTGTTTAAATTCAATGCAATTTCTATATAGTTGGTATTATATAAATCCTCTTGATATTTTTCTATTTGTTTCATTTGTTCTTTATTCTTTTTTACTTCATTTTGTGTCTTCTTGTAGACTATTTTTATTTTCTGTATCTATAATAATGTCATTTTATTTTGTAATAGTCATTTGCATCTTTAATTGATGAGTCTGCCTTCAAATAATATACCACTTCAATAACACTATAAGAAACTTGAAAGAGTAGATTTATATTCCCCTCCTCCTTTTTGACTTCCAGTTATGTTGCTCTAGCTGGACTGTCTCCTATATCTCAGGACTCAGTTGAAACAACTGGAATGACTTAGCCCTATTTCATGTGCTCTATGCTTAGTCCCATGGTTTTGGCGATTTTCCAAAAAAGGAAGTGGAATTGTTTAAGTCTTCTTGAACCAACACACACTTTTACTTGCATTCTTTTGGCCAGTGCAAATCATAGGGTCAAACCATGTTTAAGGGTTGGAGAAAGAGATACGTTCCTCCACCCCTGCAGTCTCTTGATGAGGAAAGCTGTATGACATTGCAAAAAGTTTGGATATGAAAAGCAGTGGGAAGTTTGGGCTATTTTTACAATTAATCTACCATATAATCTTTACCTATGTAAAATGATCTTATTTTTGGAAACTGACTAATGACTCAGATTACAGTGATCTGAAGTTTTCTCTGCGAAGCTCCACTGATCATGATGACTCAGTCTAGCATATGGGCAATGGGAACGCTAGGGAATCTCATTAATCAGCCATCTATATCTGTCTCCTCAGGCCTCTGCCTATTACTGCCTCCATCTTCTTGTTTTTTGTTTTGCCAGATCCTGTAAATATGTCACAACTTATGATGAAGCAAATACCATTTCATGAAATCTATCCTGAGTGCCTTGGATAATATATTTTCATAGCACTTTGCACCATCACCCTTATGGCATTTATATTTTACCTTTCATTTTATTTGTTCTATTGTGTGATCCTCCCCTATGCCATATGATCTTTGAAGCCAAAATCATGTCCTTTATACTTTGCATCTTCTTCAAGATTAACTCATAGCCTTTTACATAATAGTTGCACCATTGAATAAGCTGAGTGAGAAATACATTATTGCGTACATGCCGTGGCTGCTTTTCTAATGTGCAGAAAGAAAGGCTTTAATGGTAATTTAAATCAAGACTCTAAATATTAATAGCAATCATTTATTGTATTCTGCATCCAAATACTGTTCTTAAAATGTTAAAAAACTTTAAGGAAAACTAGTAATTCTTCATTGTTGCCTACATCTTAACTTTAATCAATATTACAAAATTTCAGCCAATGCCTGCTCCGCTGCCTAATCAGTTTTGGGGAGGGAAAAAAAAAACAGGTCTTTGGAGAAAGAGCTTAAATTCAAATCTCTCACTGCTACTTCTCAAGTGTTATTCATCCTGAGATTCCTTCCAAAAGCTTACCAATATTAACTCAATATTAAAAGAACTAAGAGAGAGGGAGAGGGTCTGACACATAATAGGGACTTGTTCCTTGTTCACTTAATTCTCTTCTGTGTCTCAGAATGCAGGTCTGCTTTAATGGCAATTACTGTAGAACACAAGTGGGCTCTTGTACCTTTACAGAGGTGGGTTGGAAAGAAGATGAATATGAAGGAGAAAAGAGAGATTTGGTTTTTGTTTAACTTAAATATCTTTTCACTTCACTCTAGTTTATTGGAGAGAAGTCTTACAGGTATCAGAAGAGTTGAGCACCACCATGGAATAATATCCCACCATCTGCAAAAGGAAGTGGACTGCTCTTCCCCTTCAGCCTTTGCAATGAAGGGCAGCATCCTTGACACGATATACTGGAGAAAGTTTTACCCTTGCCTCCTCTCCTTTCAGAGAGGCTGATGATCCATGCCCAGTGCTCATAAATAGTCTGTTCACATCCTGCTTTCTGTTCCAATCTTTTCGTCTCTCCTTTTGGTTGTTACAACTGATCTATCTTTGAGATTTTTCACTCTTCAAATGTCCCAGAATTTCCTGCCTCCAAAATCATGAAGAGATATTTCAGATCTCAGAGTTCCTTATACCAATAATGCCACTTTGGGCTGCAGCAAATATGTAGTTTTCCCCACAGCACCACAAAAAAAAAAAAAAAATCTGAAGATATTAGAAAAGAGAGAAGGCTAGAGGACATTGGATAAAAAAGGGTGTGGTAGGCAAAACATTGCCCCTTTTCCCCCCAAATATTGTCCTCTAATTCCTGAAACCTGTGGATATGTTACCTTAATCTGCAAAGGCTCTTTTTCCAGGTAAGTTAAGGTCCCTGAGATGAAAAAGTTTTCCTGAATTGTACAGTTGGGCCCAACCTAATCCCTTGTCCTGGTTGAGGTGAGAGAGAGATGTGAGAATGGAAGAAATATCAGGGAGATGTATTGTTGTTGGCTTTGAAAATTGAGGAAGGGACCACTAGCCAAGAAATGAAGACATTCCCTAGAAGCTGAAAAATGAAAGGAATCAGATTCTGCCTCCAGAAAGGCATATAGCCCTGCCAACACCTTGATTTTAGATCGGTAAGAACCATGGTAGAGATCTGAACCTACAGACCATAAGATAATAAAATTGTGTTGTTTTACATCATTGCTTGTGGTAATTTGTTACAGCACAATAGGAAACTAACATAGTGGGAATGAATAGGGATAAGTAAAAGAGGCATTTTCTAAGAATGTCCAGCTGTTTCCAGATGAACACTTGAGCATCCTTTACCCCAGACTTAAAAGTATTATTTTTAAAGCCTTTGAATATATAAGCATTCTTGGAGAATGAAATTTTCTCTTCAAGGTAAAAGTATTTAACAAGAGGTTTTCTTTTCCCTCCATAATGTTGTGTGTCCGTGCCTATGCATATCTGAGATTAAAATAAAAAAATAGAATTAGAGAAACGGTTGGTATAGGTAGGTAATATCAGAAAGCCTCAAATCTCTATTGCTATCCTTGCCACAACAATCTGCCAATTGCCTGCTGGATGGAAGTTATGTTGCTATGTACTGAAGATACATAAAATTAAACATTTGGCCTCTGCTATCAATAAAATATTATATGATGTTTTGATTAACTTAATATTTTCCTGAACATTGCTTTTAGGAGGAACTCATAAATGACCTGAAAAAGTTTATCTTTTTCTATGTTTTACAGTGGTACCTGATTTTCCCCGTGGGCTCTGAAAAGCAATAAATCATCAAAGTAGAAATTTTATTCACTGACCTGTACCTACTAAGGCAAAATTTCTAAATGATACATTTTAGGATGATCTAACAGAAACTGGAACAGCAAAGGGATTGACACCAGCAGAAGGTCACAATCCCTTGAGTTCTGGTTAATGGAGACCATATTGTGCATTTATCATCAATTAAATGAGGGTATAGAAGGCCATTCACAAATGTTAGTTATGTAGAGATAGAGGAAATAAGGAGAAAAAAAACCTTATTGGACATATTAACGAAAACTGGCCCTTCAATGGAGCAGATGATCTGAGATCATCTATCTCTGATACTTTGTAGTGGTATGATATTGAGAAAATTCCTTAACTTCTATGAGCTTGCATTTTCTTAATTTTAAAAACATGTATAATAAAATTATGAATCACAGAAATTTTATCAGTGTTACATGAGTAAAAGATTTTAGAAGCACCTAGTGATACGTTTGGTACATATAATATTAATTAATCTTTTATTCAATCTTTCATTTGTTCAAAACCCACTTAGCATTTGCAAATACAGTGACATAATCCTTGAATATAATGACTCTGTATACCTAAGAACTGCTGATTTCCAAATTTCGAGATTTGCAAATGGATTCACCAATCTGCCAAGATCTGCACGAAATGTTTCAACAGAGCAATTATAAGTTAACTCTCTCTTTTGTTTCATGCTTCATTTTTAGATGTTTCATAACCAACTCCTTTGGAAAGAAAAAAAAGTAGCACATCAGCAATTTTTAAGCACGTTAGGATTTGAACAGCTGAATGACAGTATCTCCTGGAGGAAAGATTTTCTACTCACAGAACCTGAGATGAGAATCATCTGTCCCAGTTTTACAAATTAAAAAGGAAAAAAGAAACTCCAGTGCCTTTTCTGCCAGTATTTTCTGATGTTGAAATTCTGATACAAATATTCAAGTTCAATGCAATCCCATCATGAGCGTATGTGTATGAATGAATACGTATACATATATATGATAGACTCCTGACAATCAAAATAATGTTTTACAGGCAAGAATTCTTTAAATTAGAAAGCTACTAAAATGCATTTAACTTGCTTTGTGAGAAAGCTAACCCTTTGTCTGTAACTCCCAACCCTGGTTGCAAAATGCAATGACCTAGGCTGACTCTTTTTTTTTAATCCTATATCTAGAAGTTTCTCATTCTGATTTAATTGGTCTGGGATGACTACATTGGGATACAGACTACATTGGGATATTTATAAAGTTTCTCAGGTGATTTTTAACATGTACAAAGTTGAGAAACAATGCCCTACACCAGTGATTAGTGGCACATGGCCTTGGTAGTACATTACAGTCACCTGGGGGAGCTTTAAAAAATACTGATTCCCAGGGCATACCCCAGATTTATTAAATAATAAGAATAAGAGGGGAGAACCACAGTCATCAATATTTTTAAAACTCCCCAGCATAGGCTACCTGGGTTGAGAGACACTGCCTGTGCTCTGCCAGTGATATAATGATTATGATGTACATTAGACATCAGATGATTCATTATCCCGCCTATATCTCAACTCACTGCAGCTGGGACTCATATTAGACACCTCATCTTTGTTTCACATATAGAATTAACAAAATTAATTTCAGGTTCTATCATACCTTTACTAAGATGAACATTGTGTCAGTGATCAGAGAATTGCCTCTAGTGTTTCTGACATATTTGCTTTCACAATATTTTGAGAACTAATAGTCTACTCTGAGCAAATATTAATATCATTCCATGTGAGTAAATTTCGTCCTGGAATTGACTGTGGGCAATTCATGATTTCACGAGCACTGGGGTCTCTATTCCTTTGCTGGAAATTTTGATACCACCGATATATGTCACATTTTAGGCACATTTAACTGTGCAGCCGGTATTGGGTTAGACTATACCCTTCATGCTCATGACTCTTTAATATCTGCTAATTTCAGAAGATCTTTTGAATATCGTAGGGAAGTGTAGGTCCCTTTTACTTATCACCATTTTTCTAAAGCTCATCACGCTCCAACATTAGAGAAGTTTCAAGGAAGCTTCATCTTAATATTGACACCTTGATATGACCTGTCCCCAAAGAAGAACTGTCACGTTTGTGATCAGTATCTTCCCTCAAATAGCAATGGAAGCATTGGTCTGGAATTATTGAGTAATTTGACTTAGTGATAATTATGGTAGTCTACAGATACTAGAGATTATTATGCATTTATTACATGATCTTTGCTTAGAACTATTTTTACACGGTCTTTGTTGGCTCTCTTGTAAATCTGTTTCAGAGCAGGATCCTCAGGAAGCTGTATTTGAAATGAAGCTTTGTTAGATGAGAAATCAAATTCACAATCCTTCTGTGGTTTTGGTGCAAGAGCTCCATCTGGAAATGGACCAGCCCTTACTGCCTCAGCATATGTCCCAGGGACTACATTCTCCCAATAATTGAACACTTTGATTCCAAATGCAGCACAGTTTTCTCTCTTCATGCTGTTATTCACCTATCTCTGAGCATGCAAACTTCAGGAAGCCAAAGTGAGTGTAGAAAGATATTTATAATGAAGAAATAAAAAAATCCTTATCATAATTAGGTGATGCTGAAATATTCTTCTAGTTGGCATTCTGCCCAGGAGTTTAAAGGGTTTTTACTTAGTTCTGACTTTGCTTACCTGTAAACCAACCGAGTTCCCTCCATTTCCCTGCAGTTTGGCATTTTAGTGTTACAAACCATTATTCATTGGAAGTCATCAAAAGACAAGGGACCTTTTTCATTACAAAGCTCCTGGGTGGAATAAAATGGCTTACATTGTTGAAGGGAAAAGGGGGACAAGAAATGAGTATTTTCTTTCTAGAAAACACACACAAACACACACACACACACACACACACACACCTGTATATCTGCAATCCAGATGGCCATGGTGCCCTGGATGGGGAAGAAATAATCCACTTACTTCTTCTTTTGCTTTTTATATGGACTACCACGAATGGCCAATCCTGACCCTCAGGGACTGCTCTTTAAGTGTTCTTAAAATTGAAATAGAATTGGAAGTGTCAGTTTCTGGACCATGTCCATGTCACCACAGGTGGAAACACAATGGTTAAACTAGGATGGACAGGAACTAAGGAGTCAATCAACTTTGACCTGGATTGGCATCCAATATGGAGGATTTCCGTAATAATAACAGGACACAGTTCTCTTTAGGCTTCCCTTTATCCTTAGCTCTGATATATTAGATTCTTACATATTCTATGTTTTTAACTGAAACAGCCTGCTGCTAAAGCCTTCAGACTACTCTAATTCTGGAAGCCTAATTTCAGACTACTCTGCCTCCTCCCAGAGGGAACGAAAGCCAGGGAGAGATGCTAAAGCCATAATCCTCAAAGGATAGTTCTGCTTGCAGATCTAGGGCTTTCATTTAAAAGAATGACTCAAAAGGCCATTTCTAGGCTCGTGAATCTCAAAAGTCAATGTCGATGAGTATTATCTCAGACACTTGTAAGAAATGCGTACATTCAAGCCCCTTTTTTCTGATTCGGAAGTTCTGAGTTCAGGTTTGGGGCCAGGGGATCTGATATTTCACTGCATATGATCCTGATGTAGTCGTTCGGTGGAATACACAAGAGTCACTAAACTAAACTACAATAGACTTGGGAACGCAGAAATAGGAAGTTTCTTAGATTTTTCTTGAGATGTGGATTTTAAGGTATATTTGTTATATTTTCTCTTAGTTTATTTTAAATACCAGGTAACCCTGAGACACACTGAAACCTGAAAGTCATATAAAGTTATGTCTAATTTAGTGTGCCTGAGTACATAAATTGGTTCAGATTAGCTAATGAGGACACATTCATTCATTTGGCAAATAATAGTTAAACTTTTTTTTTTGAGATAATCTTGCTCTGTTACCCAGGCTAGAGTGCAGTGGCATGAACACAGCTCACTGCCGCCTTGAACCCCTGGGCTTAAGCAATCCTCCTGCCTCAGATTCTCAAGTAGTTGGGACCAGAGGCGTATGCCACCACACCCAGCTAATTTTTTTTCTCTTAATTTTTTTTTTCATGGAGAGAGGGTCTTGCCATGTTGCCCAGGCTGGTCTTGAACTCCTGGGCTCAAGCAATCCTCCTGCCTTGGCCTCCTAAAGTGTTGGGATCACAGGCATGAGCCACTGTGCCTGGCCTAGTTGAACTCTTGCTCAGCTAAGAATTGTGCAAGGTACTGGTGGCACAAAGGCAAATGAAATGCAGTTCTTGCCCCTTGAGGAGTTCATTTTAGTGGAAGAAACAGTGATATAAATTAATTAAATACAGTGATAGGAAAAGTGTTATCAGTGCTTGTAGGACAATATCATTTACTCTGCAAGGGAAGATTTAACAGAGACAATTGGAGTTGAGCTTTGTTTTCAACTATTTCTGGAAATTGCAAGACACAGAAGAGAAGAAAAATTTTGAGAAATAGGAAAAAAAATATCATGCAAAGGCAAGGAAGTAAGAAATAGCCTTTTGTATTCTAGACATGCTACAAAGTTCAAAGAGTTTAGAAAGATGCACAAATGATGGGGAATGGAGGGAAATAAGGTGGGCAGGAGAGAGCCTTGAGACTATACTACAATCTGCTATGACAAAATGAGGATCATTATGAGAGAAAATAGACACCTAAGTAAATGAAGGAATGCGCTATACTCATAGATTGAAAGACTCCATATTTTAAACATAAACATTTTTAATTGAAGCATAAATATAAAACAATCAGAATTAATATTTGATTAGTTTTGTGAAAGTAGGTAAACCCATCCTAAAATTTGTGTACAAATTATGAGGTCAAAAAATAGCCAAGATAGGCCGGGCACGGTGGTTCACGCCTGTAATCCTAGCACTTTGTGAGGCCAAGGCGGGTGGATCATCCGAGGTCAGGAGTTCACGACCAGCCTGGGCAACATGGTGAAACCCCATCTCTACTAAAAATACAAAAAATTAGCTGGGCGTGGTGGCGGGCACCTGTAATCCCAGCTACTTGTGAGGCTGAGGCAGGAGAATCGTTCGATCCTGGGAGGCGGAGGTTGCGGTGAGCTGAGATCAGGCCATTGCACTCCAGCCTGGGTGACAGAGCAAAACCCCGTCTCAGAAAAAAAAAAAAAAAAATAGTCAAGATAATTTTGAAGAAACAGAACAAAGTTAGAGGTCTTACTCTGAAATCTTGTGACTTACTTTAAAGCTATAATGATTCGGGCAGCATGGTATTATTATAAGGGTAGCTAAATAGATCAATGGAATAGAATAAATATTAATAAAGAATATTAGTAGAATAAAGAAATGCACTCAAATATGCAATAATCAGTTTATAAAGAGATACCACTATACCACAGTGAAAAAAAGATGGCCTTTTCTTCTTTTTTTTTTTTTTTTTTTTTTTGAGACAGCGTCTGGCTCTGTCGCCCAGGCTGGAGTGCAGTGGCGCGATCTCGGCTCACTGCAAGCTCCGCCTCCTGGGTTCACGCCATTCTCCTGCCTCAGCCTCTCAAGTAGCTGGGACTACAGGAGCCCGCCACCGCTCCCGGCTAATTTTTTGTATTTTTAGTAGAGACGGGGTTTCACTGTGTTAGCCAGGATGGTCTCGATTTCCTGACCTCATGATCCACCCGCCTCGGCCTCCCAAAGTGCTGGGATTACAGGCGTGAGCCACCACGCCCGGAAAGATGGCCTTTTCAATAAACAGCATTAGGTTCATTGAATATCTATATGGAAAAAACGTAAATTTTATCCATACCTCACCCCATGCACAAAAATTAATTCCAGATGGTCCATAGATCAAAAAGTTAAAGGTAATTTTCTTTTTGAGATAGGGTTTTGCTCTGTCACCCAGGCTGGAGTGTAGTGGTACGTTCTTGGCTCACTGCAACCTCAACCTCCTGGGCTCAGGCAATCTTCCCACTTCAGCCTCCCGAGTATCTGGGACTGCTGGCATGCATCACCACATCCAGTTAATTTTTTTGTATTTTTTATAGAGATAGGGTTTTGCCATTTTCCAAGGGTAGTCTTAAACTCCTGGGCTCAAGTGATCTGGTTGCCTCAGACTCCCAAAGTGCTGGAACTACAAGAGTGAGCCATAGTGCCCAGCCAGTTAAAGGTAAATTAATAACCATTCTAAAAAATCGCATCTAGGCAGAGGTTTTTTTTAAAGAAAAACTAACCAAAATGAAAAGCCTTGAAAAATTGGATCATATTGAAATGAAAAGCCTATGTTTATCAAAAGATTCATAAGAGTAATAAGGCAGGCCACAGAGTAAAAAATTCTTGCCATGCATATGTCGAGAATGGAATCATGTGTGAAATATGTAAAGAACTTCTACCAAAAAATCAAGTCAAAGCAACCAACCAACTTTTAAAAAATGTTTAAAATGTTTGAAAGGGCATTTCATCAAAAAACGTATTCAAATCATCAAAAAACATATAAAAATAGAACAAATCTCATTAGTCAGCCCAGAGTGTAATTTAAATCCAACGAATAAAACTATATGCTCACTAAATGCTAAGATTGAACATACTAATGACACAAACTGCTACTAAGATTTGAATTAAGAGACACTCCTATATACTGTTACAAGAAACCAAAAAACGCTATAACCACTTGGGAAAAGCATTTAGCAGTATTTGTAAATATGAACGTTTCTACAACCCAACAGTTGCCTTCCTAGGGACATAGCTAATAAAATTGCATATATATTTAACCCAAAGATGAGTAAAATATGTTCACAATGCACTCTTTACAGTAGCCTAAAACTGAAAAATTCAAATGTCTATCAATGGCAGACTGGATAAATTAACTGTAGTATATTCACACAATGGGAATAGTATGTAACAACAAGAATGAACAAAGTACTGCTATACGTAACATAAACATCAACTTTATAGTTGGACAAAAGAAAACTGACACAAGTGAATTATACCATTATTCCATTTATGTAAAGTTCAAAAACTGAAAAAGCTAATTGATAACAATAGAAGTCCTACGAGTGGTTACCTTTGGGAAGAGAAAAAGCAAGAGGCTTTGGGCAATGCTAGTGTTCTTTTTTTATGTGTGGTGGTTACACATTAAAAGTTACTAGTGTGTTCATTTTTTGAAAATTCACTGAACTGTACACTTATGATTCGTGCATACTTCTGTCATTTATAATTTAATAAAATTCACATTAAACATTTTTGCAGTAATTTAATTAGAATGAAGGAAGCATGTCATTTTCTCAGATGGGACATGGCTTTTTATAGCATTATGTTGAAAGGAAACATTTTTCTTGCTGTATTTTGTTTTCTCTTGGACATGTTTTTAAAAACAAATCTGGAAGTGATTTGCCTTTACAGAGAGAGAGATTATCACACAAGTGCAGAAAATAGATGATGAGAGCCTAAATTGTGTGGAGAGAGGGACATGAGGCAGACTAGAAGCAATGTTTCAGAGATAGAAATCACAGGATTGGAAGTTCAATTATCTGTGGGATGATGGAAGAGGAAGATAAAAGTCACCCTAAAGTTTCTAGCTTGATAGATTTGAATGATTATGCAGTTGGATCTAATGAGTCTTTTTTTTTAATGTTGGACATGTTTGTGGTGTTAGAGAGTCAGGACATATTTTTATGCAATTGAAAATATAGGTCTAGAACTTAGTGAAAAGAACAAGAGTAGAAATATAAATCTGGGTCTCTTCAAATGTGTTTTATGTCTTGAATGTACGTTTTATGGCTAAAGCCTTGAAAATAGATGCAATACCCACTTCATTATCCTGGGGAAATGTGCAGTATAAAGAAAGGGGAGAATAATTGACAGAGGTGGAAAGTGAAGTGAAGGAGATTTCAAGCAAGGAATCCATTTGCAATTCATCTTAACTACTTATATTTTAAGTATTCCCAACATGTCTCAATACTCAGCTGACCTAGGTAATTATTACACTCTCTTGTTGTCCTCTGGTATTTATTTTCTAAATATAAAAATTATTAAAAGCATTACAAATAGTACCTGGTGTTCCACAAAACTTAATTTATCACTCACTTCTGAACTGTAGTGTTACCAGAGAACAGTATTACATTGAATCTGTTATAATGTCAGTTATTTCAGGAATATTTTACAACTTAAGTAAAACTGATGTTAACTTATCATATTTACAGCCTCACAAGGGAATTTCAGAGGTCTGAATCAGATATTCGTAATAATTTCCTGAAAAATGAATATTTTTTAGAAGAACCATATTTTACATCAGCATTGATCATGAAATATTCCCAGGTTTGAATAAGATGGCCAACAAGTAATTATAAAACTATCTTAGTTGCTAAAAATATCATAGTTTCTTTTTATTCTATTGATCCATTTCAATTTACTGGCAATCACAACACATCCTCTGAATCCATACTAATAATTCCTATAGTGAGAGAAACACATTGTACTCCCTTTTGGTAAATCTATTGTTGTGATTATCTATTGTTATGTAGCCAATTACCTCCAAAACTTAGTAGCTTAAAACAGTCCATGTTTGATTATATGACACAGTTCTAGGGGTTAGGAATGCTGGCAGTGCCCAGCAGGGCAACTGTTCTGCTCCCTGTGGCATTAACTGAGGAGCATTAGTGGAATTCAGCTAGTGGCTGTACTACATAGAGGGCTGAAGATGATGCCACTCACATGTTTGGCATCTTGGCAGGGGTGGCTGGAGGTATGGGCTCAATGTGACCATCAACTGAAGCACCTGCAAGTAACCCCTCTCTCCATCACGGTGGTCTTAGAGTAATCGGACTTCTTACATGGTGTTTCAGGGTGCCCGGAGACAGCATTCTTAGAGAACAGAAGGGAACATTGCTAATTTCTTAAGGCCTGAGCCAGTACAGCATTGTTTTGGCAATTTTGTTAAACAGTCACAGAAACCATTCAGATTCAAGAGGAAGGGTGTAGACCTTAACTCTTGATGGGAGGAATATCAAATAATTTGAAGTTTTCTTTAATTCACTACACAAATGTAATAATAATTCATTTATGGTTCTGTTTACTAAATGTTTTGTGTATACTAACATAGATTTTAAAAATAAAAGCAAACCTAAAAATAGTCCAGTTTAATAAAGTACATTAATTAGTCTCTTTTTAAAAAGACAGATGATGTATACAGATCTGAACCTGGTAATATCTGGAATGAAAATTTCAGAATAAAAATGAAATAGAGAATTCTGAATATTTATAGATGGTATTAAATAATAGATATGGTGAAAGCAGAGAAAGACTGAAAATTAACTCAATTATTTTTGATGCCTTGATATACTGGAAATAAATTTAGACTCTTCCACTTAGAAAATAAGTATGATCCTTGATTCTTTTCTCTGGTAACCATTGAAAGTAATACATATTAAAATTTTTCTACCTGGTTACATTTCCATGTATTTGGTTTAAATGCATAAATGTCAGGAAAAAGAAACTCACTACAATTGAGTTCCTCTTGTATGCTAGGCTTTAAGTACACTATTTATATAACTAATTTAATCTTCAAACTAATCATAGAGTTAGATATTGTAACCCTCATTTTATAGATGAGGAGATTGAGGTTCAAATAAGTTATATATAAATAACACATACATGCTCTGATATTATATATAAAGTATGCTGTATTATGTGTATATATAATACATGTTCATAATATAATAGGTATATATGTGTGTTTGTAATACATAATATGCACATATTATATATATTTATCATTAGTCACATTATATATAGTATATATTATAATATTATATATGTTCATACGTATTTTGGGGTGGAGGTCCATTTTTCAGAACATTTGCCCTCTTTCTGTTTCTTAGGCTAGGAATTAAGCACCATGGTAGTCTGTGGGATGTAGCATCCTGCTCTGTATAGCGCAGCATGCCAAGATAGCTTTTAAATTATGACATGTTCTTATGTACATTGCAGGTAAGCTTTCTGAATATATCTTTTCTTTAAGCATAAACAAAATTGAATGCATATTAATTATGATCAGCAGTCTTTGCTGTACATACAACAGACAGGATATTTTCAAAGTGGGGTTTCAAAACAAAATCTGTACCACACCATAGTTTGAGTCCCAATACGCATTGTTTTTCTCCAGATGATCAACCACACTGGGCTGGCAGCTAAGAAAAGTGGAGAAGATCACCATGATGTGACTGCGCAGGGCAGGACTAGTGCTGGCGGGATGCACAGGTCTGGTTTTCAATCATCTTAATAGCACCCTACTGAGCCAGAGCACAAAGAACCTGATTGGTATTTGTCTGACGCTGATTAGAGATATTTGTGCAAGACCTTCATTTGCATTAATCTTTAGGAGAAGTGACCTGCCTAAAAGGAGAGGTTGGGGATTCTGGATTCAGACATGCTTCTATATATTGGGAAAGAATGTCATGGAAAATAAAAAAGAGATAAAGAAGAAAAGTAATTCTTTCTGGAGTAATGAGGTTCACTTCTCCTCTTACTATAGAAATGCTCCAAAGACTGTAAACATTTAGAGATAAGAATGAAAATTTGCTTCATTACTTATTTCAATTGGATAGAAGCCAAGTTGAGACTAAGAAATAGAAACCATTTCTCTGTACAGACAGCAGTCTTCTGAGAGCATCCACAGAAGAAAGGATGGGTCTGGATCTTAGTCACTAAATTGTGAACTCTTAACTAACTGAAACAATCTAAACTCATTTTACATGACCCAAAAGTCATAGTTTGGGTTCCCTCCAGAAGCATACACTTAGACAAGGATTCAGATCTACAGTGAGTTGAATGGCATTCTCCTCCAAAAGATACATCTGCTCAGAACCTGTGAATGTGACCTTATTTGGAAAAAGAACCTTTGAGATGTAATTAAGCTAAGGTTCTTGAAATGAGATTATCTTTAATTAGGGGACCTTAAGTCCAATGACAATTTCCCTTAGAAAATGGGGACAGAAGGATCTTTGACTATAGGAGAGGAGAAGGCAATGTGATGATGGAAGCAGAGATTGAAGTTATCCTGCCACAAGCCAAGCTATCTGTGAAGGCACTAGCAGCTGGGAGAGGTAAGCAACGATGCTCCTGTAAAGCTGGCAAAAGGAGTTCTGGCCTCTAGAACTGTAGGAGAATACATTTTTGTTATGTCAATTTCTCATGGCCACCACAGAAAACCAAAGTAAGGTCCAAGTAGTTTACTGATAAGGTAAAGGAAAACATGGGTTGGGGAATGGGAAAGTGAGACAGCAAAGAGGAGGCAAGCAATAAAGATGGTTATCTAGCTAGCAATGTAAGAAGATGGATGCTGGGG